>NC_000009.12:62549738-62748832 GCF_000001405.40 Homo sapiens
ACTGGGGACTTGGCTTTCCTCTGGCTACTTCCCAGCTACTTGGGGTTCTGACACCTCTGGCCGGCCACACAAGCACCCTGAACATTCACCATCTCCCGGAACTCAGTAGCCTGATGGCCCAGGATGACTGAGTGCCGGCAGATCTGGCAGGAACAGCTTGTGAATGGCATGGGTGGCCAGGGTCTCTGCCTGATAAAGAGAATGTTCTTCCCTCAGGAAAGCGGCCCAGGTGTCCTGGAGCAAAGGACTATACTGGAATAGGTTGGTGCCTGCAGCCTAGAGCTTGGACAGTTTCAGCAGCCAAATGAACCCTGGGGTTCCCAGTATTTGGGAAGAGGTTAAGGTATGTGGGAAGAGGCCAAAAACATAAGGAACCTCCCCGTGGCGTCAGGGTCCTGCTCCACACAGACAGAATCTGAGACGCCCTCCCCGGGGCACCTGGTTCTTCTCCAGTCCTTTGTCACCTCCCAAGCGGGTCTCAGAAAAGGCAGGTCTGAGGATGCGGACGGACGCAGGACCTAGCCCAGGCTGGTGGAGCCCCCTCCACGTCCTCTGAGTACAGCTGCCGGTCGCCACCTCTGAGGCAGAACTTGAGGAAAATGGGGTCAAATGGAAGGTACTGGTATGGGGACACACGCGGGGAGGCCTCCAAACACCCTTTCAAGATGGTTCGTGTTGACCCCGATAGGTCTCGTGTTGGAGGGGCAGGCACTGGGGGTTGCTGGTCGACCCGCATGTTGCCCCACCACAGAGCATCCAGGGCTAAGAGCCTCCTCCGAGCTTAAGCTGCAGGTCCAAGCTTCCACGAACAGATGGGGAGCGAATGCTTTGCCAGTGGGCGGAACAATCCTGCTAACGCTAGGGACATCCTGGAACTCGACCCGGTGCACAGTGGCCACTTCTCTCTCGCGGGAGCTCCAGAGAACAAGTGCAATAGGTAACATCGACCGCCAGGTGGAGCCCGACAACCGGAGCAAAGGGCTGCAGTCCATGTCGGATCGCATTTCTCAGACCTGGGTGGGTGGAGCGCGTCTGGCTCCTCTTGGAGCTCCAGGTCACCACGACGCATCCCCAGCAGCATAAGGGAATGCTGACTGCTGGGAAGAATACAGACTCTCCCTACGTGACTCCCAGTCTGGCCCGTGGAAAAGCTAACCGCGAGCCTGCGGGCCGGGCGCCCTGCCAGGCCGGGCTTTCCAGAGCCGCGCAAGCGGACTTAGAAAATACCGCGCCCTCAGGTATGGGATGAAAAACTGCAACCATGAAAGCTTTGTTGAAAACACTTTAATTCTAAAATTTCTGAACAGAGAAGATCTTTAAAGCATAGAACAGAGCCCGTCACGGTTGTTCACGCCTGTAATCCTAGCGACTTGGGAGGCTGAGGCGAGAGGATCGCTTGAGGCTAGCAGTTTGAGACCAGCCTGGGCAACATAAATAGACCGCTGTCTCTTAAAATAAAAATAAAAAGGCATGTATACAACAAAGACAACTCGAAAGCCATCAAGGACACGATTGATTAACTTGATAGCATAAAGTTTAAAGAAAATTTATCTGTGCACGTACCAGGACAAAGTCAAATGACAACAAATGGGTGTGGGGAACATCGGTGCAAATACATGTATGATGTTAAGAATACTGATTTCACCATTACTTGTAATAACAAAAAATAAAGAAAACATAGCCATTCAGAGGAGCCAGGTTTAAAAAATTCTGGTACATCTATACAATACCGTTAATTTACGTTTTGGTTTATTTCTTCAGGGCGGTAGACTTACATGTAGTAACATGGAAAAATGTCCATGATGAAATAGTAAATGAAAATAGCAAATTCATGAGAATGCAAATTAGAATCATAGTGCGATACCATGAATGCCTTAGACAAAATAGTCTTCAAAAGTGAAGGAGAAATAAATACTTTTTTTTTTTCTTTCTGAGATGGAGTCTCACTCTGTCACCCAGGCTGGGGTGCAGAGTGCAATGGCGTGATCTTGGCTCACTGCAACCTCCGCCTCCCAGGTTCAAGTGATTCTTCTGCCTCAGCCTCCCGAGTAGCTGGGATTACAGGCACACACCACCACGCCCAGCTAATTTTTGTATTTTTAGTAGAGGTGGGTTTTCACCATGTTGGCCAGGCCGGTCTTGAACTGCTGACCTCAAGTGATCCACCTGCCTTGGCCTCCCAAAGTGCTGGGATTACAGCTGTGAGCTACCGTGCCTGGCAGAGACTTTTGTAGAAAACAAAAATTGAGGCAATTTGTTGCTGGTAGACCTGCATGCAAGAAATGTTGGAATAAGTTAAAAGAAGTTCTTAAGAGAAAAGTAAGACATTTGGATCTACATAAAGGAAGAATATAAAAAATGAATATATGAATGTGAAGTAAAAACTTTGCATTTTCTTATTTTCAACTGATATAGCAGCTAATAAATAATTTGTTCAAAATAATGATAGCAATAGTTATTAGATGTTTATAATTTATTGATAAGTGAAACGAATAATAGCAATGATATAAACTATAGGAGGGAAGAGTTAGAAATATTTTGTTATTATAAAATACTTGCACTACTCATAAAGCAATACAGTATTACTTGAAAGTAGACTTGTACTAATGGTAAATGTACATTGCAAAATCTAGGGCAACCAATAGAAAGGTTTTTTAACAGTAAAAAGAAAGGAAGAATTTACATGCTTAAACGGGAGAGAAAATGGAACCATATAAAATGCTCAATTAAAACCACAAAAGGCAGGAAAAGAGTGGAAGGCAAAAATAGGAAGAAAAAAGCAGGACAACAAATAGAGAATAATAACAGACATGATAAATACCAACCTAACTGCATCTGTAATCATCTTTAATGTCAATGGTCTACATACACCAATTAAAGAATGAGTTCATCTGAGTTGATCCCCCACAAAAAAGACCCAACTATACATTGTTTACAAGAAACTCACTTTAAATGCAAAGACATATAGATTTGAAGTAGGAAATGGAAAAAGATATACAAGGTTAACAATAATTAAAATAAAGCTGAAACAGCTATATTAGTTTTCAGACAGAGTAGACTTCAGAGAGAAAAGATAATTCTGGATGAATATAGGCACTGCTTGATAACGAAAAGTGAATTATCTGAGAAAATATAACAATTCTTAATGTGTGTGCACCTAACAAGAGTGTTAAAATACGTGAGGCAAAAAACTGATAGAACTGCAAGGATAAATAAAAGAATTCACAATCATAGTTGTAAACATCAACACCCTCTATCAGAAATAGAGAGAACCAATAGATAGAAAATCAATAAAATATGGTAGAACTAAACAGCATCATCAAAGAACTGGAAGTAATTAACATCTATAGTCTACTTAGTGTAATGACAGCAGAATACATATTCTTTTCACTCTCACATGGAGCATTCACCAAGATAGGCCACATTCTGGGCCATAAAGCCCACCTTAACACATTTCAAAGTATAAAAACCATGCCATACCTGCTCTCCGAAAACACTGGAACCTATTATACAAACCAGTAATAGAATGATAGCTGGGCAATCTCAAAATACTTGGATATTCAGAAATATACATCTAAATAACATAAGGGTCAAGAAGAAATCTCAACAGAAATTAAAATAATTCTTTGAACTACATGAAAACAAAAGTACCACTAATGGCTCCAAGAGTTTCTCACTTCCCCTATGGGAATGTCTGTATTTCCTACAGAGATCAGTCAAAGCTGCACAGGGAGCCTCCAGGAAGGGTCTCTGACATGGCTACAGTTTTGCGTGGGGCACAGTTGCATACAGCACTCCCGAAAACGTTTCTCTTTCCCAATTAGCTAGCTGAGACATTCCCTAACTAGTCATGGAGGCCAGGAAGGGCATCCCTTCCACCTGGTGGACTGAGTGGGGATTGGTCATAGGAGGCACCCTGCAAAATTGTATCTAAACCCCTCTCTGGAGGCCAGGACAAATCTGAATGGACCATGGAACTGGGGAGAGCCTGGATGGGAGCCAGTGGTCAGGAAGGCCTTGGGGGCTGCTCAGATGGGGCCAGGTATGAAGGCCTGAGAAGGGCACCTTGTTGCATGGGTCTGGTTGGCCCAATGAGTCTCCAGAAAGTTTCTTAAGACCCCTGGTTGGGGGGAGGACTGCATCTGGCTATAAAGTGAAGGCCCCAGGGATGGTTTTGGTGCCCTACTTTCCACTCCAGTCCAAAGCAGTGCCTGTCATCAGAGGCACCAGAAAATATGTTCTAAGTACTCCCTGTTTGTGGGCACCAGGTAAGGATGCCCAGTAAGGCCTGGGAAGGGCTTGTGAATCCAGTCACAGTTCTTCCTGGCCTTGTCGATGGCATGCAAATTCTTTGAATGTTTGCAAGTCCCTCTCTGGAGGAGCAGCAAAGGCCTGAGTGGCTGAGGAGGCCTATTATTTTTGTTTATATTATTTTATATGAAATTATTACTTATGTTATTTTTGTTATTATAAAAAGATGTAAAGTGTGACATCAAAAACATCAAACATGGGAGAAAAGGAAGTTAGAGTGAAAAGTTTGTGTATGCAATCAAAATTAACTGTTATCAGCTTAAATTAACCTGTTATAACATGTTTTATGTAAGCCACAGGGTAGTCGTAAAGCAAAAGCCTGTAATGGATACACAAAAGATAAAAGGAAAAGAACCAAAACATACTACTACAGAGAGCCATGAAGCCACAAAAGAAGAAAGCTAAAGAGGAAAAAAGGACCAAAGGCTCTACAAAGCAACTAGAAAACACTTTAACAATGGCAAGAGTAAGTTCATACGTGTCAATAATAACCTAGAATGTAAATGGATTAAATTCTGCAGTTAAAAGATACATAGTGGCTAAATGAGGTATTTTTTTAAAGACCCAGCTGTATGCTGCCTACAAAAGACTCACCTCACCCGTAAGGACACATGAAGATATTCCATGCAAATGGAAAGCAAAAGAAAGCAGGAGTAGTTGTAGTTTTATCAGATAAAATAGACTTCACATTAGAAATCCTAAAAAGAGACAAAGGAGGTTATTATATAATGATAAAAGCATCAATTCAGCAAGAAGGTATAACAATTATGAGTATATACCCACCCAACACCAGAGCAAATATTAGATCTAAAGGGAGAGACAGACTGCATTTCAATAATAGGAGACTTCAACACCCTACTTTCAGCACTGAACAGATCATCCAAAGAGAAAATCAGCAAAGGAACATTGGACTTAAACTACACTCTAGAGCAAATAAACCTAACTTTTACAGAAAATGTCATTCAACAGCTGGAGAATGTGTATATATTCTTCTCATGAGCACATGGAGCATTCTTCAGCATAGACCATATGTTAGGCCACAAAACAAGTCTCAACACATTTTTAAAAATTAAAATCAGATCAAGTATCTTTTTTGACCACAATGGAATAAAACTAGAAATCAGTAACAAGAGGAACTTTGGAAAATGCACCAATACAACATGCTCCTGAACAACCAATGGGCAAATAACGAAATTAAAAATAAAATTTAAGAATTTCTTAAAACAAATAAAAATAGAAACACAACATACCAAAATTTACGTTATATGTCAAAAGCAGTAGCAGTACTAAGAGGGGTAGTTTATAGAAATAAATGCCTATATAAAAAGGTAGAAAGATTTCAAATATAATGATGCACCTCATGAAACTAGAAAAGCAAGAATAAATCAAGCCCAAAATTACAGGAAGAAGAAATACTAAAGATCACAACAAAAATAAATAAAATTGAGACTAAAAATATGAAAGATCAACCAAATGAAAATATTGTTTTGAAAAGGTAGACAAAATCAACAAATCTTTAGGTAGACTAATGAAAAGAAAAACTCAATGGAATAGAATCAGAGATAAAAAGGAGACATTATAACTGATAAAACAGAAATACAAAAGATCATTACAGACCATTATGAACAACTTACATCAACAAATTGAAAACTTATAAAATAGATATATTCTTGGACACATATAACCTACCAAGATTGAACCATGAAGAAACAGGAAACCTGAATAGAACAATAATTAATAATGTGATTGAATCAGTAATAAAAAGTCTAACAAAGAAAAGTCTAGGACCATATGGCTTTACAGATGAATCCTACCTAATTTTTAAAGATAAGCTAATGCCAATTATTCTCAAACTATTTTGAAAAATCAAAGGGGAGAGAATGCTTCCAAATCTTTTTTAAGGCCAGCATTACCCTGATACCAAAACCAGACAAGGACACAACAAAAGAAAACTATAGGCCAATATTTTTAATGAGCATAAATGCAAAACTCTTTAAAAAAAAAACCCTAGAAAACAAAATCCAACAGCACAGAAAAAAGATTATACACCATGATCAGGTGGTATTTTCCCCCAGGGATGCAAGGATGCTTCAACCTACAAATATCAATAAATGTGATACATCACATACATCACATCAAGAGAAAAAAGAACAAAACCTTGTGATTATCTCAATAGACACAGAAGTAGTGTTTGATAAAATTCAACTCCTCTTTGTGATTAAAAAAAACCCTCTCAACAAATTAGGTATAGAAGGAACATACCTTAAAACATTAATGTTAGTATATGATAAACCCACAGTTAACATCGTACTGAATAGGGAAAAGTTGAAAGCCTTTTCTCTAACATAGAACAAGACAAAGATATTCACTTTCCCTAAGATCCTTCCTCTAAGATCTAGAACAAGACAAGGATATTTACTTTCACCACTTTTATTAAAAAGTGGTCAATCACATCGTTTTCTTTTATTGAAAAGTGGTGAAAGAGTCCTACACAGAGCTATTAAAAAAGAAATAAAGGGCATTGGAAAAGAGGAAGTCAAATTGTCACTGTTTGCAAATGACATGATCTTATATTTAGGATAAGCTATAAAGACTTCACCAAAAAGCTGTTACAACTGGTTAACTATTTCAGCAAAGTGGCAGAATACAAAATCAACATACAAAAACCAGTAGCGTTTCTATATGCCAATAGTGAACAATCTGAAAATCAAGGAAGCAATCCCATTCACCTTAGCTACACAAATATAAAATGCCTAGGAATAAATTTAACCAAAGAGGTAAAAGATCTGTACAATAAAAACTTTAAAACACTGATAAAAGAAATTGAAGAGGACACAAAAAATAAAAAAACTCATATTCATGAATTAGAAAAATTAATATTGTTAAAATGTCCATGCTACCCAATGTTAACTATAGACTCAAGACAATTCCTATCAAGTGGCATTCTTCACAGATATAGAAAAAGCAAGCCTAAAATTCATGTGAAATCACAAAAAAGCCTGAATATACAAAGCAACCCTGAACAAAAAGAACAAAGCTGGAGACATCACACTATCTGACTTCAAAATATACTACAAAGCTGCAGTGATAAAAAATAAAAAGCATGTTTATGGCATAAAAACAGACATATACACCAAAGGAATGAAATAGAGAACACAGAAACAAATCCATGTATTTATAGCCAACTGATTTTCATCAAAGGCCCTAAGAACATACACTGGGGAAAGAACAGTATCTTTAATAAATGGTGCTGGGAAAACTGAGTAACCATATGCAGAAGAGTGGAACTTGACCCTGATCTCTCACCATATACAAAAATCAACTCAAAATGGATTACAGAGTTAAATGTAAGCCTCAAAACTGTGAACCTACTAGAACAAAACTTAGGTAAAATCCTTCAGGACATTGGTCCGAGCAAAGATTTATTGAGTAAGACCTCAAAAGCACAGGAAACCACAGCAAAAATTGACAAATGGGATTACATCGAGTGAAAAAGCTTCTGCACAGGAAAGGAAAAAATCAACAACGTGAAGAGACAACCTACAGAATGGGAGAAAATATTTGCAAAGTATTCATCTGATAAGGGATTAATAATCAGAATACACCATGATGCTCAAACAACTCAATAGCAAAAAAAAAAAAAACAACAACAACAACAACAAATAACCTGATTTTGAAATGGATAATAGATCTGAATAGACATATTTCTCAAAAGAAGAAAATCAAATGGCCAACACATAAATGAAAAAATGCTCAACATGATTGATGATCACAGAAATGCAAATCAAAATCACAATGAGATATCCTTGCACCCCAGTTAAAGTGGCTATTATCAAAAAGACAGAAAATGACAAATGATAAGGAGGATGTGGAGAAAGGGAAATGCTCATACACTGCTGGTAGGAATGTAAATTCGTACAGCTACTGGAAATCTCCACACTGGAAAACAGTGTGGAGATTTGTCAATAAAACTAACCATAGACCTACCATATGATCCAGCAATCCCACTAGTTGGTATATGGCCAAAAGATAAGAACTCAGTGTATCAGAGAGATATCTTCATTCCCATGTTTATTGCAGCAGCACTATTCACAATAGCCAAAATATGGAATCAACCTAAGTATCCATCAGTGAATGAATGGGTAAAGGAAATGTGGTATATATACACAATGGAATATTATTCAGCCAGAAGAAAGAATGAAATTTTGTCATTTGTAGCAACATAGATGGAATTGGAGGACATTAAGTTGAGTGAAATAAGCCAGGTACAGAAAGACAAATATCATGCTCTTACTCATATGTGTGGGCTAAAAAAATGGGAGGTAGTGAACAGAATGGTGTTTAGCAAAAACTGGGAAGGGTAGTGGGAGGAGGGCATGAAAAGGGGTTGGTTAATGGATATAAAAATACAGTTAGATAGATAGAAGGAGTAAGATCTAGTGTTTAGTACCACAATAGGGCAACTATAGTTAACAGTAATTTATTTTGTATTTCACAACTTTCTCAACACAAGGAAACAATAAATGTTTGAGGTAATGAATATCCCAGTTACCCATATCTGATCATTACACACTGTATGCTTGTATCAAAATATCACAGGTACTCTATAAATATGTACAACTATTATGTTTTCATAAAAATTAAAAATAAAAACTAAACTATTAATTGTTCTACTTTGTGGACATAAAATATCTTTCCATTTATTTGTGTTTTCTTCCATTTTCTTTCATCAGTGTTTTATAGTTTTCAGTGTACAGTTCTTTCACCTCCTTGGTTAAATTTACACCTAAGTATTTTATAAGTTTTTTGTTGCTATTGTAATTGGATTGCATTCTTTTTTTTTCTGCCTCCCAGGTTCAAGCGATTCTCCTGCTTCAGGCTCCCGAGTAGCTGGGATTACAGGCACCCGCCATCATGCCCGGCTAATTTTTTTTGTATTTTTTAGTAGAGACAGGGTTTCACCATGTTGGTCAGGCTGGTCACTCTAACTCCTGACCTCAGGTGATCTGCCCACCTAGGCCTCCCAAAGTGCTGGGATTACAGGCGTGAGCCGCTGCGTCCAGCCGGGATTGTATTCTTAATTTCCATTTTGAATAACTCACTATCAGTTTATAGAAATGGTAAATCACCCTTTGTGGATAAAGCATGGGTACTCAGCAATTAGGAGTAAACCCTTCAGCTAATGTCTAAGTTGCTTTCATTGTTACTTTATCTGTTTGATTTCTTGTCTAAAGTTTGATAATGGCAACTAACCCATTTTTAAGAGAAATTAAAATGGATAACATGCATGTGATATTCTGTGAAAATTGCATGACTTCTTTTAATTAATTTAAGGAAACTATAGATGTGTAGTTAGGGCTTTAAACCAAACTGGTACAATTTATTTTCTGCTAAATTACAAAGTTATTTGATTGAATTGACAAGTAATATTGCTTTGTTTTATTTTTAATTCGTTACTGTGCAAATTCACATTTGGAGAATGTAAGATTATATACGAAACCTTGAACCACCTTTAAATAACTATATTTTTATTTATTAAGCCACAAACAGTTTAGTTATGTTGTTATGAGCAAATATATTTACTATTTTTTCTCTGCAATAGGAATAGAGATTTCTTTTGCTCTTCTATCTCAACTGAAAAGGATATATTTTCTGGATCACTGCCATTGGCTCCTTCTATAGTATTTAAAAAATATATGCATATCATAGTGTTAGGCTTCTATAAATACACTACTAACTTCTCTTCACTATAAATGAACTTGAGCAACTCTCATATCTACAATTTCTAGCACCAGGAAAGTGACATTTTCCTTTGAGATGGGGAATAGGCCTTTTGAGGTCATGGTGGAGTCATATACTCCCTTTTATGACAATTATTAGCACCACGTGAGGGCAGAGAGGAATGTAAAAGAAGTATCATTTCAAGTTAATAAGCTACAACCTGCCACCACTGATGGCATGTCCACTTACAGCTCACGAGCCAGCTCTTCATCAATAAGTGCTGCTTTGCAGTGGTTTGTAATTGAATTGTATGATGTAAATGTGGAGACAGCCAATCATGATGTTACAGGATCTTTGGGGTGTCGATTTTCTTGCCCAGAAACCTCTGTGGACAGTGGCATCTTTGCCTGAGTTCTTGTCCTGCATCCAGGAAGAATGAGGTATGCAAAGGAAGGGCGAAGAAGATTAAGAGGAGTTTTATTTAGTGTTAGAACAGCTCAGAGAAGACCCACAGTGGGTAGCTCCTCTCTGCAGGCAGGTCGTCCGGTGGAGTGTTCAGCTTTCAGCAGAGAGGAGGCCCTGGCGAGCCTGGCTGCTCTCCGCAGGCTGGTCATTTGGAGGTCTCTGCAGGTCTCTGAAGCTCTCAGTAGAGGGGAGAGTTCGTCTCTGCAGCTGGTCATCCCATCGTCTCTCTGTCCTCTGCCCTCTCTGGTAGAGCCCAGGGCTTTTATGGACCTCAGAGGGGAGGAAGTACCTGCCAATTGGTCCATGAGCAGCCATTGGCGGCCCAGAGGAGGGACAGATCCCCAGTCCTGTCCACAGGATTGGCAGTCTGGCTCCCAGCCTTCAGGCCCTCCCTGGCTTGAAGGTGGGGCTTTACTGGGGACCCATCCGCTTCTGCCCAGGACTCTCCCTCCCCCTGCCATTCAAGGCCCCAGGGCTCGACCAACCCTGTTGGGAGATTAAAGCTGGTGACAGAAGAGGAGAGAGGCCAGGCAGTGAGAGCAGACATCCCAGAGCCAGTTGGGGGTGGCGGGTGCAGGCTGCCAAGATGCCAGGGTCCTGCGCCTGAGACGGTGGCCTCAGTTGCACCCAGGGAGCTCCCACCCAGCCAACTCAGAAGGGGCGGGGCTTCTGCTTGTCCCGGTCTCCTGCCTGCTCCATGGAGCCGGAAGCCCAGGTCTGCAGCAGTGGGTTGGGTGGCTGCAGCTGCACCCAGGAGGGCAGATCCTGTCGGTTCCCAGCCCCCTCCAAGAGCACAGGGAAGCTTGGATCCACAGCTGCAGTTTGGGGTGGGCTACAGCCTGCTCCGTAGAGCAGGAGGCCTGGGTCTGCAGCCGCACCAGGGAACTCACCCCAACTCAGAAGGGGTGGGGCTCCCACCAGCTTCATGGAGTATGCAGACCCAGCCATACCTCCCTGCTGTAGCCTGCATGATGGCAGCAGCTGCTGCCATCAATGAGAGAAAAAAAGACAAAATTTACCAATATCAGTAATGAGAGAGGTGATCTCACTACATACATTACATATATTAAAAGGCATAATAAGAGATTACAATGCAAAGCTGTATGCCAGTATGTTTGACAGCTTAGAAGAAAAGACAAATTCCTTGAAAGATGTAAACTACTAACACTGACTCAAGAAGAAATAGATGACATGAATAGTCTATTAATTAGATTGAGTTTATAGTTAAAAACCTTCCCACAAAAAAAATTCCAGGCCCAGATGGCTTCGCTGGAGTTTTCTAGCAAACATTTAAGGAAGAAATAACAAATAAACATAAACTCATTCAGAAGATTGAAGAGGAGAGAATACTTTTGAACTCATTCTATAAGTCCAGCATTATTCTGACACCACATTCAGACAGACATTTTTTTTTTTCTTTTTTGAGATGGAGTCTCGCTCTGTCACCCAGGCTGGAGTGCAGTGATGCAATCTTGGCTCACTGCAAGCTCCGCCTCCCGGGTTCAAGTGATTCTCCTGCCTCAGCCTCCCGAGTAGGTGGGATTACAGGTGCCCACCAGCATTCCCGGCTAATTTTTTGTATTTTTAGTAGAGACAGGGTTTCATCATGTTGGCCAGGCTGGTCTTGACCTCCTGACCTCGTGATCCACCCACGTTGACCTCCCAAAGTGCTGGGATTATGGGCGTGAGCCACCGTGCCCAGCCTAGACAGACATTTTAAAAAAATAAAAATACAGTCCTTCATGACCACAGATGCAAAAAAACTTAACAAAGTTTCAAAAAATTGACTTATACCAGTAATTCAAGTTTAGTTTACCATAATAAAATCAACCAAAGCAATTTGGCATAAAGACAAACATTCTGCAAAACAATTTGGCAGTTTCTTAAATGTTAAACAGATACCTACCATATGACATAGCTATTCTTGTCTAGGTATTTACCCAAGAGAAATGAAAGGATATTTTCATATGACCATCTGTGCATAAATGGTCATAGTAGCTTATTTATAACGGATGAAAACTGGACACAATTCAAATGCCCATCTTCAAATGAATGAACACACAAACTGAGCTATATTCACACAACGAGATACTACTCAGCAATAAAAAGGAATGAACTATTGATACATATCACACATTAATGAATTTCAAAATAATTCTGTTGAAAGAAAAAGCCAGATAAAGAAAAGTAAATACTATGTGGTTCCATTTATATGACATTCTGGAAAATAGAAACTAATCATGAGAGAGATCAGATCTGTGGTTGCCAGGGATTTGAGGGAAGCAGGGAGGTTATGGGGGAGGGGTTATCAAGAGGGAGGAGAATATTTTGCTGGGGTGATGGATATATTCCTTATTTTAATTGTGATGATAGTTTCATGGTTGTATACATAAGTAAAAATTTAACAAGTCCTGCACTTTAAGCATGTGTATTCATTATATGCCAATAAAGCCTCAATATGGCTGTTAAACAAAAATTAACTACCGAACTACTAAATATGTGTATCACTCTAGGAAATGAAAGACATCTCTTCAACTGCTTTTGTGTCTTGACTTTTTTCCCAAAGGAAGACCTATATTTTGCTTCATTTCTTTCTACTCTACATTTCTTTTTACTCTGCTTGCATTTAGTTTAAAAAAAAAGCTCTCTGTTGGTGATTTCTAATCTGTTTTAAGGTAAATAATTGTACTGTCCAATTAGAGACTGAGATAACTCATGAATTATCAGACAGGTTGTTCTCCTGTACAATATATATGATTTTGAGTACTAATATTACACAGTGAATTCAGAATTGTGTGTTTGTATATACATACCATAGTCTTATAAATAACTTCAACTTGCAATAATTAACTTGCAGTTAATTCTTACAGTAGCATGAGGTTGGGCCTCTTAAAAAAAGAACTAAAACCAACTCCCTGCCTGAGAATAGAAACAACACACACACACACACATACACACACACACACACACACACACACACAGACCAAATTGAATAATCTTGTTTTCTCACTTACAGTTGTGGGCATTCATTTATGGAGTTCTTGGCAGCTATGTTAGCATAAAACCCCACCTATAATTATCATTCATATTAGGATAATATCTCACAAATGTGGTCAGTATTGTCTTCTGCAACATTACAGTTAGTTGGTGGAATAAGTTCTAGTGTTGTATAGCACTATAGGGTAACCACAGTAAACAACAGTGTGTTGTCTTTTTTTTCAGATAGCTGGGAGAGAGGATTTTTCATGTTACCAACACAAAGAAATGATAAAGGTTTGAGGTGATGGACATGCTAATTACCCTGATTTGGTCATTATACATTGTATACATATACTGAAATATCCCACTGTACCCCATAAATATGTACAATTATTATGTGTCAAGTAAAATATGAATATATATAGTAAATAAATAAATGAAGTAATTTGCCATTACTTAACATTTCATTAAATGTATGTTTCCAAAATTATATTTGTTCTTGAGACCTTTTGAGTGATCACAGTTTCTGCTATTCTCCATAAGGCCTCAGTTTGACCCAGTGATGAAATCTTGAATAAAACACAGAGGAATGTGTTTGTATTTGTAATGCTTCCCTTGCAGGTGAAATGGCCACCAGACCCAGGCTTTCTGGAATGCATTCATTTTCTGCAGTTGAAGGGACGATCCCGGATCTGAAAGAAAGAGCCACAGTGACTCCAAGAGTGGAGCCAGGGCATGCTGGACACTGCATAGCTATGGCCACGTGTGTCACCTCCGAGGGAGATGTGAGAGAAACACAGAGGGATCGCTTGTGACTGTGCCTTCTCGATGTATGATGGACTGTTCTGCTCAAATAGTAAGTGTGAACAAGGAGCCGGTGAACATAGGAAACAAAGAATATTTCATTTGACATTATAAGGAATGAGACAATTCTAGTCACTTGAAAGTGAACTATATCTGTCGAGAATTCCTAGTTTTAATTGCGAAGAAATGTGCTTCTCTTTTTGAAAAGCCACAGGTTATTGCTTTTATATCTAATATCAGTCCTCTCTGGATCTCTCAAAGGATTTTGTGTATATCCTACCATTTTCCTTCTGTTGCTGCAGTTTGGAAGTAGTTTGTTATCAGGATTATCAAAGCATCATTGCTATTTATGACAATGACTAAGAAATGCAAGAATATTTGGAACACTGTAGAAAAAATATTTTAGCCTGGAAGGCAAATACTAATTTCAGGAACTATTGATCTGTTATAAAACAGGACCACTCAGACATTTAGCTCTAGGACTTTGGCATATCTGTTGTTGGAGGCGTATAGTGGGGGGCATGACTCAGCTTCTGCTTAAGTACAAGTTGTCTGCAGCGAAGGAAGAATTTGATTGTAGTATCAACAGAACCAGACAGAACTCTTTGAATATAATTATATATCTTGGAAACTGACTCATCAAAGCTATTAGATTACATAGCATCATTTAAGCATCGTTGGGCTCTGTACTTTTCATTATCTGTACTTTTCATTATGGAGTATAATAGGCTTTATTTGGTACAGAAATTGGGTCTAAGATGGAAACAACTTGTGATTTTTGAATAAACTTTTGGGGATTAGTTACTTTGATGTTGTCAAGATAGCAGCATAGTAAGTCCTCTGCCTTTCCTTTTGATTTATTTATAATTTAGAATCAGTTTATGATTTTAAAAAATGTGACAGACACAGTGGCATGCACCAGTAGTACCAGCCACATGGGAAACTGAGGCAGAAGGATCACTTGATCCCAGAAGATAGAGACCACCCTGGGCAACATAGTGAGAGCCCCATCTCAAAAAAAAAAAATCAATTCCCAATACCATTCCAGAACACTTTTAATATAACCAGATGAAATTGTGATCACTTCTTTACTGTAACGTTTAAAATGGTCCTCAGTCCATATTTAAGTACAATCTTAGTGTTTCTGTGCAACCTAATATATTAGAAACAAAAACTGTATTGCATTTGAATAGGAAATAACTCTGAATTGAGGGTTATTTCGTTTAACAGTTGCAATTAGATTGGTTAGTGACAATTATCTGTAATTTTCAGGCAATGCCTAGGCAAGTGCCCAAGACACAGTAGCCTCCTCCTTGCCTCCGTATGTGTGTGTGTGTGTGTGTGTGTGTGTATGTGTGTGTGGAGGGTGGTAACATTTCTGGGAATTTGTCTTAACATAAAATGATACCACCTTTCACAAAACGACCTAGAGGAAGTTGGAAATCTCACTATCCTGGCTTCCTGCTGAGCAATATCTGCTTCTCTTTCTGACTCAGGCTGATGCATCTGTATACTTAGCTTCACTTCTCCAGTAAATAAGGGAGAGCTTTATTATAAAAGACAACTTCTATTGATTTTCAAGGGGGTGGGTGGTTGTCAAGCTCACTCCTTTCTATGCACTGAGGGAAAATTATTGTAAGCGATCTGTAAAACAATAGATGAAAAAAGAGGAGATAAAAATTAAATAAAATTTAAATAAAAACTAGGATCCTAAGTGGGAAAATAGCTTTAAATTAGAAATTGATACCAAAAAATAATGATATGTAATCTAAGATGAAAATATTTTGAAGACTATCAGCATATCTCCCTTAAATGTTATTTAGTTCTGAAAAATATGTATTGAAGAACTGTTATATTTTACTTTATGTCTTATATTAAATGTGCTAAAATTAAAAAGAAACAAGTAGATAAAAGTAAAGATTGTATTATTATTTTATCACCCAGGTTATTTCAAGACTGGAGACATTCTTTAAATAAACCTAAATTATGACTCCTTGCACTTAAGTTTTGCTAACATAAAAAGTATGTATGATTTCGGAGATTTCTGCATATTTTGGAATGAGCTCTTCAGTTGCTTGTAATTTCCAAGAAGATTACCCATTTTACCCCTTAACTAAAACCCCTGTTCCTTTACTGCCTTGCTGCTTCACTTCATGGGGATATGTCACTGACCAGAGGAAAGATCACATTGAATTTCTGAGCCACGCTGTTTTGTATGGTTAAAATAAGATGCTCAAAGTATGATTTCACAAATCACATGGTTATTGCCATGCAAGGAGAATTTGTTTTCTTAAGTTCACAATGCTCAAAAAGGAGAAGAATAATGTGAACAAATCTACAGGGAATACACTCAAAAGATGAGGCACATTAACCACAGAGGGAGTGAGTTCCAAATATTAAAGTCTAGTTCCTGAAGTAGAAATGGAAGCAGGCCTCTGTGGAAAGGCAAATCGAATGAAAGTTTGAGGTGCACCTTTTTTTCAAGCGAATTCTCTGGAGAGATGGTGTCTTGACACCATGGAGATCCTCAAAGACACCTGGGGTCCCTTGACACCAGTGGGTGGTGCCAGTGATGCAGGCGAGGCTTCAAAGCTCAGCTGCTGACAGGGTGGGGCTCTGTTGCTGCATGAGTTCAGTCTTCCAAGAATTGACTGGCAGGGCAACCCTGTCACAGAATATGCTCTCCATTTTTGGAGAAGTGGCTGAGACTTACTGAAGTTCTCAAAGTGTTCATCGAGCTCTTATGTTTATATGTATTTTGAAATCCAGTGGTTGAGGTCAGTAACTCACATATGATGGGTCTGATGAGTTTTGACATTGCATTCTTTTTCCCCCCACGAGACGGTGTCTTGCTCTGTCACCCAGGCTGGAGTGCAGTGGCCTGATCTCAGCTCACTGCAACCTCTGCCTCCTGGGTTCAAGTGTTTCTGCTGCCTCAGCCTCCTGAGTAGCTGGGATTATAGGCGCACGCCACCACACCCGGCTAATTTTGTATTTTCAGTAGAGACGGGGTCTACCATGTTGGCCAGGATGGTCTCGAACTGGCTACTCTCAAACTCCTGACCTCATGATCCTCCGTCCTCGGGCACCCAAAGTGCTGGGATTACAGGCAGAAGCCACCGCTCCCGGCAGACATCGCATTCTTGAGGGCTGGAGGGAGTACGGTCTAAGTTCTTGTTACAGCAAAACGTAGCAAACTATGCAAGTCTTTGGAATAATTCCAAAACTACATAATAGACATGAGCTCCAAGCTTACTGATTTATGTGTGTGCCTTCTCTGAGGAATATCTTTTGGTTATCCTTGTGCAACATGGCAAATATTTTTTAAAGTGAATGAGAGTTAATGAGAAAATTAAATTATAAAAATATTATGGCAATGAGGTGGATCATCGCAGTGTTCAAGCTACAGATAAAAATATGACATGCCCTCCAACTTTCATTCTCTTTTATTTTTCAGTAATATTCAAAATATTTATTGCAAAAGTTAGCATTTCAATGATGAAATTAAGATGCCTTTCAGTTCAAGTTTGGCAATTTTACATATTTCATGTGAAACTCTGATTTGAAATGTTGCTGAGGGTCTTTAGTATTGCATATGAATAATAAAAATCAAATTTGCCACATATTGGAATAAGATATACAGTATTTTATATGGCAAATGTTTCTCTTCCTTTTAAGAGAAGAAGAGAAATATTAAGGTGGTTATTACTCAAGTGAATCCTACTTAAAAGTAACTTTCTAATAGTTGAGAAGTCACTTATGCATACCTACGTGAGGAAGAAAGTTGAATTGACTGTCATTCATTCAGCCCAGTGGGACATCAAACTCTCCAAACCTTTCACAGTAGGAAAACAAAGCCAGGCCTCCTTAACTATGCTACATGGCAAGTCAAAACATGAACATAATATCTGAAAAAGCCTGAAAAACAACTCTGGCTAACTAGATCTCATTGCAGGCAGTGAGAGAGTGGTGGCAAATGTGAACATGTCTGTGTGGGGTGGTGGCAGGGGAATTGGAATATACGAATCCAAGGAAAACTGACTCTTGGCAAATTACTTGTTTTGGTGCTCCTCTTCATTTTTTTTATTATGGTAGAAGACTTTGTATACAAATTTCTCACTGTACAAAAAACAAGTTCTTCAGTTATTGCATTTCTGCAATATATTAAAATACACGAGAAAATCACATTAAAAAGAGGCATGATTATAGAAACAAAATGTTATTGCAATACGATATCAACTTATAATTCATAATTATATTTGTAAATATCAAATTATAAGTAATTTATGAGAAATTAGAGCCAAAGCTTTTCATACTTACTTTAGTGTTTTTCTAAAGGAAAAACATGGTGAAAGAATTGTAGAGAAGACACAGCTTATCATTAATCCATTTGTCTTGATACTTAACACAGTATTGGTGGCGCATTGGTTCCAGGACTCCCTGGGGATACCAAAACCCATGGATGCTTGAGTTCCTTATGTAAATGATGAAGTATTTGCATGTAACCCACACATACACTCTCTCTTTAAATAATCTCTGGATTACTTATAATTCCCAATGCAATGTAAACACTATATAAATCGTTGTTTTACATACTGTTTTAAAATTTGTGTTATTTTTAATTTTTGAAGATATTTTATCCATGACTGGATGAATCCATGGATGTAGAACCTAGGGATAGGAAGGGCTGACTGTAACTGAGCTCAGAGATTCTGGAAAAGCACTTAAGTAATCAATATTCCAGGAAGGGGGACTTAAAAAGATCCTTGACTCTACATGAGAAGTTTTAAATACAGTTTTTTTTTTTTCCTTTTTAGGGAGTTTGCAGGTCAGGTACAGGCTAGACTGACATCAAGATTCGGATTCCTTTTACTTTGATTTAAAAAACTTAGCTGATAGCAGTTTCACCATTTTAAAATGAACATGAAAGAAGAAATTGTAGAGGTAATGCAATAATTAAAATTATGACTTGCTAGCATCAATGACTTTACACAAACATTTGATAATAAATGACTGGGAAACAATGCCCAACCAATGATATACATATATATATATATATGTATGTATGTATAAGTAAGAAGTGAAGTCAAATATAATTACAGCATTTTGTTTGGTTTTGCTTTTGTTCTTTGCTTTGCTTTTGTTTAACAATGAGAATCTATCCAAGCTATTATTAACATTTGATTACTTAGATGTCAAGTTTTGCTTTTAGTTCATAAGGAAACAGTCGATTTTATCGCTGGATACTACTGGTAGAAACTTTGAATTGATATTTCGGTGAAAACCAATTTTCATTGAATTGTCAAACCACAAATGCTATATATAATAGCAATTTAGAACAAGAAAAACAACCTGATTTTGATTAAAATGAGGATAAATAATGAAAAGTCACCACAAAATAAATTTTACTCTGTTGCTGGCTTTTGAAGAAAATCATTTAGATATTAAATCTATAGATAGAACATTTCTCTGCCTCATGTAATATTTTATTCTTAGTTAAAAGGTTTGAGGTATAAAGTAATGCATTGTATTTCTTTGTAGATCCTCCCAGTTATAGATATCCTATGAAGCAAAGTAAATCGGGAAAGGAGATAGCAGATGGAGTGGCAGCTTATGACATTCTATAAGTTGGTTAAAAATATTTTCCTCTTAGTATATAAATCTTGGAATTGATCTCTTAACCTTTTTGGTAGCACTAACAGGTGGTTTATTTTATGATTTTTTTCCTTGGTTTCCCTTTGCTTCCTGTCTTTTTATCACAAAGTTACTCTTCATTTGAATGCTTCTATTGGAAGAAATTGTTAGGTTAACAGAATGCAAGGAGACAAGTCATCCTGTCAGGTACAGAATTCAGTGCTGTCAAATTTCTTGTATTGGGGAAAATTTTAGGTAGGTGGAAGAAAAACCTTTCCCTTCACATAACAGATCAAAAGTGTCATGTCACCAGCATGAGAACCATTTGTCATGCTGAAAGAAACTTCTTTTCTTAAGTTTATGAATAATTACATCATGAGTGACAATCAAGATAAAAACTGTACTTTTATCTAAGTGCACATGTAATCGTGAGTAAAGTGCTTCCTGAAAGATGAGCAAGTATATTGCTTGAAAAATAATCTTACACTTATCTGTCTCACTTAGCAATCAAGCACACTGAAACGTGTTATTCTTCTAATAATTCAGGCAGGAAAAAATGTGATCAAAGTATGTGTAAAATTCATAGCTTCTGTCTATGTCTTCATCAGTGGTCAACCCAGAAACTTTCATTTAATGAGACAACTAAGATTAAGTTTGGAATAAAAGAACTGTATGAATTAATTTTAGAATGCTATATTATTTGTCTTCTGACTTATGAACTGTATGAATTAATTTTAGAATGCTATATTATTTGTCTTCTGCCTTCATTTAATTCTTATGGAATTTGAATTTTTCATAAAAAGTGGTTCTGAGCAAGTGCTGCAGTGGATACAAGATAACTGGATCCTAGCACTGGCTCTTCCATTTACAAGTTGCATGATAGACTGTGACAAGGCATCTGATATGGTTTGGCGCTTCTCTGTGTCCCCACCCAAATCTCACGTTGAATTGTAATCCCCAATGTTGTGGGAGGGAACTGGTGGGAGGTAACTGGATCCTGGGGGAAGATTTCCCCCTTGCTGTTCTTGTGATAATGGGTTCTCTCAAGATCTAGTTGTTTAAAAGTGTGTAGCACCACCCCCTTCACTCTCTGTCCTGCTGGCCAAGTGAATATGTGCTTGCTTCCTCTTCACTTTATGCCATGATTGTAAGTTTCCTGAGGCCTCCCCAGCCATGCCTCCTGCACAGCGTATGGAACTGAGAGTCAATTAAGCCTCTTTTTAAAAATAAATTACCCAGTCTCAGGTAGTTCTTTATAGCAATAAACTAATACAGAAAATTGGTAGCAGAGAAGTGGGACATTGCAGTAAAGATACCTGAAAATGTGGAAGTGACTTTGGAACCGGGTAGCAGGCAGAGGTTGAAACAGTTTGCAGGGATCAGAAGAAGACAGGAAGATAAGGGAAAGTTTGGAACTTCCTAGAGACTTGCTGCATGGTTGTGACCAAAATGCTGATAGTGATACGGACAGTGAAGTCCAGGCTGAAGTGATCTCAGATAGAGATCAGGAACTTATTGGGAACTGGAGTAAAGGTCACTGTTGTTATGCTTTAGCAAAGAGACTGATGGCATTGTGCCCCTGCTCTAGGGATCTATGGAACTTTGAACTTGAGAGAGTTGGTTTAGGGTATCTGTTGGAAGAAATTTCTAAGCAGCAAAGCATTCAAGAGGTGGTCTGGCTGCTTCTAAAAGCCTATGCTTATTTGCATAAACAAAGAAATGACCTGCAACTGGGACTTACATTTAAAAGGGAAGCAGAGCATAAAAGTTCAGAAAATTTGCAGCCTGGCCGTGTGGTAGAAAAGAAAACCCATCTTCTCGGGAGTAACTCAAGAAGGCTGCATACATTTGCATAAGTAAAGAGGAGCTGAATGTTAATAGCCAAGACAAGGGGGAAAATGCCTCTGAGATATTTCAGAGAACTTCAAGGCAACCCCTCCCATCACAGGCCTGGAGGCAAAAATGGTTTTATGGGCCAGGCTCAGGGACCCACTGCTCTGTGCAGCCTAGGGACATGGCACCCTGCATCATGGAGACTTCAGCTGCAGCATTGGCTAAAAGGGGCAAGATACAGCTTGTCCATTGCTTCAGAGGGTGTAAGCCCCAAGCCTTGGTGACTTCCACATTGTGTTGGGCCTGCAGGTGTGCAGAAGGCAAGAGTTGAGGTTTGGGAGCCTCTACCTAGGTTTAAGAGGATGTGTGGATGTCCAGGGAGAAGTCTGCTGCAGGGGTGGAGACCTCATAGAGATCATCTACTAGGGCAGTGCAGGAGGGAAATGTGGGGTTGGAGGCCCCACACAGAGTCCCCACTGGGGCACTGCCTAGTGAAGCTATGAGAAGAGGGCCACTGTCCTCCAGATCCCAGAATGGTAGATCTGCTGACAGTTTGCACCATGTGCTTGGAAAAGCCACAGGCACTCAATTCCAGCCTGTGAAAGCAGCCATGGGGGCTGTATGCTGCAAAGCTACAGGGGCAGAACTTTCCAAGGCCTTGGGAGGCCACCCAGTGCATTAGTGTATCCTGGATGTGAGACAAAGTCAAAGGAGATTATTTTGAAGCTTTAAAATATAATGACTCCCCTGCTGGATTTCAGACTAGCATGGGACGTGTAGCCCTTTTGTTTTGGCCAATTTCTCTCATTTGGAATGGGAGCATTTACACAATGACTGTACCCTTATTGGATCTTGGAAGTACCTAATTTGTTTTCGGTTTTATAGGCTCATAGGTGGAAAGGACTTGCCTTGTTCCAGATGACACTTTGGACTTGGACTTTTGAGTTAATACTGGAAGGAGTTAAGACTTTGGAGGACTTTTGGGAAGGCATGCTTGTGTTTTGAAATGTGAGAAGGACACGAGATTTGGCAGGGACTAGTGGTGGCATAATATGGTTTGGCTATGTGTTGCCACCCAAATCTCATGTTGAATTGGGACCTGGTGGGAGCTGATTAGATCATGGGAGCAGATTCCCCCTTGCTGTTCTCATGATAATGAGTGAGTTATCATGAGACCTGATGTTTTAAAAATGTGTGGCACTTCCCCCTTCACTCTTTCTCTCCTGCTCTGCTATGGTAAGACATGCTTGCTTCCCCTTCACCTTCTACCATGATTGTTAAGTTTCCTGAGGCTTCCTAGTTATGCTTCCTGTACAGCCTGTGGAACTGTGAGTCAATTAAACCTCTTTTCTTCATAAATTACCCAGTCTCACTGGGCGCAGTGGCTCATGCCTGTACTCCCAGCACTTTGGGAGGCTAAGGTGGGTGGATCATGAGGTCAAGAGATTGAGACCATCCTGGCCAACATGGTGAAAACCTGTGTCTACTAAAAATACAAAAATTAGCTGGGTGTGTTGGCATGTGCCTGCACTCCCAGCTACTCAGGAGGCTGAGGCAGGAGAATTACTTGAACCCGGAAGGCAGAGGTTGCAGTGAGCCAAGACTGTGCCACTGCTCTCCAGCCTGGCTACAGAATGAGACTCCATCTCAAAAAAAAGAAAAATTCCCCAGTCTCGGGCAGTCCTTTATAGAAGTGTGAGAACGGACTAATACAGCAACTATTCTTCTGTGTCTGTTTATTCATCTGTAAAATTGAGGAGATTGGAATAAATGATCCCTCTATATCCCTTCTACCTTTGATGCTTTATGAATCCAGGTTAAAGTGTGTGGTACAATTTAAGAAGGCTCCTTTTAATATTTGTATATCCATTAAGGACTCTTAGCTCAGAACTTCAGTATTATTCAATGACTCTCTCTTTCTGTCTTCCTCCTTCTCTCTCTTTACCCGCATTCAGATCAACATATAGAACATTTCCATTACCTAGGAAGTTTCCTGTGTCCTTTCCAAAACAATCTCTTATCACCATTGATTAGTTTTGCCTCTTCTTGAACATATAAATGGAATCATACAGTATGTCACCTTGTGTCTTGCTCATTTCCCTTAGCAAAATGTTTTGATATTCCTCCAATTTTTGGTTGATATTTTTAGTTCATTCCTTTCCACTGTTATGTACTCTTCCATTATATGAATGGAATTCATACAATGGATTTGTTTATCCATTCTTTTATTGATGAATTTTTGGGTAATTTCCAATTGTTGGCTATGAATCTCCTGTATTAGCTTTGCAGCTGTAATGAAACTTTTAGTCATTTCCCTCAAGATCACAATATGTTCTCTTATTAGTACTTTGGCCACTTCCCAAAGAATGCAAGATCCTTACAAGTTTACTTCCATGTATTTGTGTATCTCTCACCCTTGTGCCATTGTTGTAATACACTTTTTTATTGCATTTTATATTTCTACAAGATATTATTATTATTGTAGTTTTAAAAAGCTTTCACTACTATTTACTCATGTTTGCCCTTTCTCTGCACTTCATTTATTCTTGCATTCCCCCCTGCTGCTTTTGTTTTCTGGTTTTTGATTGCCAATAAGAGCTACAGAAAATCATGAAATATTTCTTTTAATTGTTTCTACATTTAATGTTTAATTGTTTTTGTGCTTATTGTTAGTAACTTTTTGAAACACCTTTCATTCCTTTAAGTAGAGAGGCTCTTCAGCCAAATTTTTATTCCTTAATATTTCTTTTTTCTTCCAGACATTTTGTTGTTGATGAGAGCAGAAAAGATTTCCCTTTTTGGAAAACATTATCGGGCAAAATATTTTATGGGCCAATGCCTCCATAACCTGAAACAATTGAAAGAATTCTGGATTGAAATGATAGAAATTTTATTGGCTTCTGGATTTCTTGCTGTAGATTTTTTAAGAGAAAAAATGTATTAAATCTGTTTTTAAAGTTACTAAACAACTCTACTAAAAATTGTCATGCAAGTGAAAATTGTCCTCAGCTTCTTAGGCTACCATGTGACATTTACTTCACTACTAAGCTTCACCCAAATCACGCTTTTCCCATCCCTTTCTTGCCTGAGATGCTTAATGTTTTTTCTCCTTTTTTTCTGTCAAAACCAAAGTGTATTTGTTTTTCCATGCTAAGAGTTGATAAAATATTGTCCCACTGAGGCATAAATTAGTAAGAAAATGCCAACTATTAGTTCTCCCAGTTGGTTTTATTTTTTTCATTACATTTTAGTAGGAAAAATAGGTTTTAAGTTAAAAGAAAGGAACCCAAAGATGGAGTTTCAAGACATCCAATAGGAAAGACAGATAGAAATACATTTCTCTATATAGATATGTGTACATATGTTTATACATATAAATATAGATATAGATATGTGTGTATGTACATATTTCTGTATCAGTCATGGTCCAGGTGTAATTTAAAACTATTTATGGAAATACTACATAAAGCACATTTATTTATTAAAAAGAAGGATTTCCATAGTGGAGTATAAAGTTCTTTAAACAGTTAATAGGAAGACTAGTCAGGACAGAATTAGAAAAATGTATGTGAATCACCTCCAAGATATGAGAGAATTACGTGCCAGGTGTACCATAAAACAAATTATATTAGTGTTGAATATTGCATATAAGAGTATAACATAATTATGAATATAAAATATATATTATAAATAGAATGTCATTTACCAAGGTTTACCACATTAAATAATACTGTTTTTTAACCTTAAAACATACATTGTAATAAAAGTTATGATGTTCAGAATTCTAAGTATAGCATGACAAAACCCTTCTCCTATTATTTTCTTTAAAATATATAAAAAACTTTTGCTGCTTTTTGGTGGATAATAACACACACACATGTACACACACACACGTGCATCCCCATTACCTTTTAATGGAACAAGGCAAGTCCTTTAATGGGGAAACATGCATTCCTATTACCTTTTAACGGGACAGTCACCATTAAAAATGTCTGCAGTTACGTATTTCTAAAATCAGCTCTGTGGGTAAGAAATTTAATGTAGCTGCCGATTCTGTGCGGTTCTGGGGAAATAATAGTTTACAATCTTCTAATTTGCCTCTAATTTCACTTCTAACTCCAACCTGTGCTCCTGAAGCAAGACGTTTTTGGACCGTCAGCAGGCAGATGAAGGCCTGAGAGTGGTAGGAGAGCTATTGTGGGCTTTCCTACCTCAGGGCTAGAGGAGGGCTTGGAGACCGGCAAAGGAAAAGATGGACCATTTCAAGTCTCAGAGCAAAAATACTAAGAGACAAAGTTGGGATGGAAAATGAAAGTGACGTGGCAATCGATAGAGGAAATTTACACAAATCTGAAAATTCTGAAAAAGAAAAAGAAGCAGAGACAATGACTATGCATCCAAAGAGAAGAAAACTCTGAGCAAATTAAAAATGTGAGCTGCACATTCCCATTACTGGGTATATACCCAAGGGATTATAAATCATTCTACTCTAAAGACACATACACATGTATGTTTATTGCAACACTATTTACAATAGCAAAGACTTGGAACCAACCCAAATGCCCACCAATGATAGACTGGATAAAGAAAATGTGGGACATATACACAGTGGAATACTATGTAGCCATAAAAAAGAATGAGTTCATGTTCTTTGCAGGGACATGGATGAATCTGGAAGTCATCATTCTCAGCAAACTCACACAGGAACACAAAATCAAACACTGCGTGTTCTCACTCCTAAGTGGGAGCTGAACAATGAGAACACATGGACACAGGGAGGGGAATATCACACACTGGGGCCTGTTACGGGGTTGGGGGGCAAGGGGAGGGGGTATTAGGAGAAATACCTAATGCCTGTGGGGCTTACAACCTAGATGATGGGGCCGGGCGCGGGGGCTCCTGCCTGTCATCCCAGCACTTTGGGAGGCCGAGGCGGGCGGATCACGAGGTCAGGAGATCGAGACCATCCTGGCTAACACAGTGAAACCCCGTCTCTACTAAAAATACAAAAAATTAGTCGGGCGTGGTGGCGGGCACCTGTAGTCCCAGCTACTCTGGAGGCAGAAGCAAGAGAACGGCGTGAACCTGGGAGGCAGAGCTTGCAGTGAGCCAAGATCGTGCCGCTGCACCCCAGCCTGGATGACAGTGCGAGACTCCGTCTCAGGGAAAAAAAAAAATCTAGATGACGGGTGGAAAGGTGCAGCAAACCACCATGGAACATGTATACCTATGTAACAAACCTGCACTTTCTACACACGTACGCCACAACTTAAAGTAAAAAAAAAAAAAAAAAAGGCCTGGTGCAGTGGCTCACGCCTGTAATCCCAGCACTTTCAGAGGCCGAGACGGGCAGATCACAAGGTCAGGAGATGGACACCATCCTGGCTAACACGGTGAAACCCCGTCTCTACTAAAAACACAAAAAATTAGTCGGGTGTGGTGGCGGGCACCTGTAGTCCCAGCTACTCTGGAGGCAGAAGCAAGAGAACGGCGTGAACCTGGGAGGCGGAGCTTGCAGTGAGCCAAGATCACGCCACTGCACTCCAGCCTGGGCCACAGAGCGAGACTCCGTCTCAAAAAAAATAGATAAATAAATAAAGTGAGCTGCAGTTTGAAAGGGCTCACCAACTTAGACTGATGGTATTTGTGTTGTTTGAGTTTCTTATGTTTTGGATATTGACCCTTTATTAGCTGTATAGTTTGCAAATATTTTTTCCCGTTCTGTGGGCTGTCCCTTCACTTTAAAGGTTTGCTGTGAAGAAGCTTTTTAGTTTGATGCCATTTTATTTCTCTCTTTTTGCTTTTTGCTTCTGTTGCCTGTGCTTTTGGGGTCATATCCAAATAATCATTGCCCCAGCCAATGTTGTGGGGATTTTTCTCTGTTTTCTTTTAGTAGTTTCACAGTTTCAGATATTATGTTTAGATTTTTAATCCATTTGGGTTGATTTTTGTATGTGGTATAAAATATGGATCTGATTTCATTCTCCTTCATGTGGATAGCTAGTTTTCCCCACACTATTTTTTGAAGATATTGTCCTTTCCCCATTGTGTGTTCTTGGCACCTTGGTCAAAAATCAATTGATCATACATGCATGGGTTGATTTCTGGGCTTTCTATCCTGTTTCATCAGTCAGCTTATTTTTATGCCAGTGTCATGCTATTTTCATTACAATAACTTCATAAGATTTTTGAAATTAGGGAGTGTAATGACACCAGCTTTTTTCCTTTTGCCCAAGATCGTTTTGACTCTTTAGGGTCTTTTGAATTCCACATAAATTTAAGGATATTTTATATTGCTGTGAAAAATGACATTGGAATTTTGAGAGAGATTACATTGACACTGTAGATCATTTTGGGTTGTATGGACATTTTTGAAAGAGCGGTGTTGAGGTTCCATAATATTGTAGTATTGCCATTTATTTATCCCTTCATGTCATTTAATAATTGCTTTACGTATTTAGGTGCTCTGATGTTGGGTGCATATATAATTACAACTGTTATGCCCTCTTGGTGAACTGACCCCTTTCTCATTATTTAATGACCTTCTTTATCTCTTTTTACAGTTTTTGATTTAAAGACGATTTTGATTGATATAAATATAGATACTCCTGGTCTCTGTTGGTGTCTATTTGCAATGAGTATCTTTTTCCATACCTTCAGTTTCAGTCTGTATGTGTCCTCACTAGTAGAGTGAGTCTCTTGTAGGCAGCATATGGTTCTTTAAAAAGAAAATTTATTCAGCTGTCCTGAGTCTCTTGGTTGGAGAATTTAATCTGTTTACATTCAAAGTAATTACTGATAGGTAAGCACTTGCTACTGCTGTTTTGTCATTCATTTTCTGAATTTTTTGTAAGTCCCTCTTTCTTTATTTCTCTCTTGTTGTTTTCTTTTTGCTTTGTGGTTACCATGAGGCTTACATAAAATATCTGAGCTTTATAACATGCTACATTAAGCTGATAATAATTGAACTTTAATCTCATACTCTCACTCCCCCCTTTTATAATTTTGATGTAAAATTTTTAATTTGTTTTTGTAATTTGTATTCCTTAACAATTGCAGCTACAGTTGCTTTTAATAGTTTTTCCTTTTAATCATCACAGTAAGGATACGATTGCTTTATGTATCACCCATACAGTGTTAGAGAATGAGTTTGATTATGTATTACTTAATACCATTGAGTTATTGAGATTTTTACATGCATTTTTTTTTGTTATTAAGTAGAAACCTTCCATTTCAGCTTAAAGAACTGCCTTTAGCCATTCCTGTAAAGCAGGGATAATGTAATAGACTCCCTTAGGATTTGTTTGTCTGGGGAAGTTGGAATTCTCTCTTATTTCTTTTTTTATCTTTTTTTTTTTTTGAGATGGAGTCTTGCTCTGCTGCTGCAATCTTGGCTCACTGCAACCTCTCCCTCCCAAGTTCAAGTGATTCTCCTGCCTCAGGCTCCCAAGTAGCTGGGAATACAGGTGCATGCCACCACACCCAGCTAATTTTTGTATTTTTAGTAGAGATGGGGTTTCACCGTGTTGGCCAGAATGGTCTTGATCTCCTCACCTCGTGATCTGCCCACCTAGGCCTCCCAAAGTGCTGGGATTACAGGCGTGAACCACCCTGCCCAGCCAATTCTCTCTTATTTTTTAAGGACAACTTTGCCAAGTAAAAAATTCCTGGTTGGCAGTTCTTTTTCTTCAGCACTTTGAATATATCACCCCAATCTCTCTTGGCCTGCCGAGTTTTTGCTAAGAAGTCAACTGAAAGTCATATTGTGGTTTCTTGAATGTGATATGTTTCTTATCTCTTGCTGCTTTCAGTTTTGTTTCTTTGTCTTTGATTTTTGATAAATTGATTATGTTTTATCTTGGTAAATTCCTTTTTGAGTGGAATTTGATTGGAGACTTTTGAGCTTCCTGTATTTAGATGTTGTCATCTTTCCCCAGATTGGGGAAATGTTCAGCCATTTTCTTAAATATCCTTTTTGGGCCTTCTTCTCTATCTTCTTCTGAATCTCCGATTATGTGAATATTAGTTTGCCTGATGGTATCTCATAATTCCTGTAGGCCTCCTTTATTCTTTTTCTTTTTGCTCTTCAGACTGGATAATTTCAATATACCTATCTTTGAATTCAGTGATCCTTTCTTTTGCTTGATCAAGTCTGCTGTCAAAGCTTTCCATTGACATTTTCAGTTAAACTATTGTATTCTTTATACCTCAGATTTCTATTTGGTTTCTATTTATCATCTCTAGTTCTTTGTCAATTTCTCATTTTGTTCATGAATTGGTTTCAAACTTAATTTAATTTAACTGGAGTTCCCTGAACTTCTTTAAGGGGGTTATCCTGAACTCTTTGTCAGTCATTTTATAGATCACCTTATATTCCAGAGCTATTATCTGATCTTTATTATTTTCTTTTAGTGGTGTCATATTTCCCTGACTTTTCATAATACTTCTGTCTTGCATTGATGCTTCTGTGTTTGAGGAGACGGCCACCTCTTCCAGGCTTTGACAGATCTTTACTACTTCGTAGGAAGGGATTCTGGATGTGTTAGCTGGCAATGACCCTGGACGGGCAGAGCTTGGTGTCAGGTTCTCTAGTTGGGCTGTGTCACTTCCTGAGACCTAAGGTTGAATGGTACTGCTAACTGGACTCTGCAGTTCACTCTGATCCAGCAGGATTGTAGGCTGTCTCCGCTGGTTGGATGGTATTGTTGTTTAGAATCTATAGTTGAGCAGGCCTTTGTGCTGAGCTCTATGGTCTACTAAAGACTCTGGTGTTGTTGCTCAGCTACACAGGGCTGATCAGGGCTAGAAGCCATTATGCCCCACACATATGTGCGGACTTGATCTTGTCTCCTGGCCTAAGGTAGGCTTAAACAAAGCTTAGTGGAGTCCCTGGTCAGCTGCTGGTGCTGGGTGGGGACCAGATGTACCCTCTGCAGAGAAGTGCTGACTTTCACTTGCCTTCTAGCCTGGGCAATGCTGTAGAAAGCACCAGGTCTATGTAGGAAAGCTGGCGAGGGATGCGAGCTGGGTACATCTGTGAGCTGTACTTCCTGCGGTACAATGCTGTTGGCTAGTCTCTCTCATATGATGCCTCCATTAGCCAGAATGCAGACTAACTACATGCTAGTCTCTGTGAGATCTACTCCCATTCTTTGTTTCTAGCTGACTCCAGGTGGTCTAGCCCCGATGGCACTCCTAATGTTTCCTGTGGTATAAGACAAGGATGAGCCTCCTGTGAAGGGTCCTAGAATGGTGGGCAAGCTGAATGTCCACCTCCAACTTTCTTTTCCCACTGTAGAAATTGTGGGTCTGGTGAAATCCTCTGTGTGTCGTGCTGTGCCAGCTTGGTGGAGGGGTGACATGCTCAAAATGAACTGTTCCTCTTACCCTTCAAAGCACAGCTTTTCTTAGTTCTGCAGTACAATTGGGTGTCTCAGTCTCACTCCTGAGTTCTGGGATATTCAGAAAGGTATTCTTGCCTGTGGATAGTTGCTAGTTGGATTTCCGTGTGGGGGTGTGGAGCTGGAGAAATTCTATTCTGCCACCTTGTGAAGTCATTCTCTGGAATAATTTTAGATTTACATAGAGTTGCAAAGATGGTAAAGACAGTTCCTATACACTCTTCACTTAGTTTCTTCTGATGTTAACCTCTTACGTTACCATGGCACATTTATTAAAAACGAGAAATTAACATTGTACAATACTATTACCTAAATGACAGGCTATATTTAACCAGTTTTTCATTTTTGAGAGGAAGTCTCACTCTAATGCCTAGGCTGGAGTGCAGTGGTGCGATCTTGGCTCACTGTAACCTCAACCTCCTGGTTTCAAGTGATTTTCATTCCTCAGCCACCCGAGCAGCTGGGATTACAGGTGCCCAACACCACATCCGGCTAATTTTTGTATTTTTAGTAGAGATGGGATTTCACCACGCTGGCCAGGCTGGTCTCAGACTCCTGACCTCAGGTGATCCACCTGCCTTGCCTCCCAAAGTGCTGGGATTACAGGAGTGAGCCACCGTGCCCGGCCCACATTTCACCAGTTTGTTTTTGTTTTTGTTTTTGTTTTTGTTTTTAACTAATTTCTTCTCTTTGTTCCCAGGTACCATCCAGGATCTCATATTGTGTTTAGTCTTCATGTCTCCTTAGTCTACTTCAATTAGGGACAATCTCTCTGTCTTTCCTGGCTTTGACACCTTGAAGACCACTGACCAGATATTTTTTTAGAATGTGCATCAAATGATTTGAGTTCATCTGATGTTTTCTCTTGATTAAAGTGGGGTTGTAAATTTTGAGGAAGAATTTCACATAGCTGAAGTGACCTTCCCATTGTGTCACGGTGGTGTGAGGTAGCCATATGACTTTTCATTGTTGATGTTAACCTTGATTACTTGGCTGTGTTGGTGACTTGATGGTTTCTTCCACTACAAAACTACAGTTTTTACTTTTCCATATTCCATTTCTTAAAAGTCAGTCATTAAGACCAACCTGCAAGACTGGGCACAGTGGCTCATGTCTGTAATTCCAGGACTTTGAGAGACCAAGGTGGGCAGATTGCTTGAGCCCAGAAGTTCAAAACCAGCCTGGGCAACATGGTGAAACCCCATCTTTACAAAAGTTACAAAAATTAGCCAGGTGTGGTGGAGTGCACCTGTAGTCTCAGCAATGTGGGAGGCTGAGGTGGGAGGATCACTTGAGTCTGGGATGTTGGGGTTGCAGTGAGCTGTGATTGTGCCAATGCACTTCGGCCTGGATGACAGAGGAAGACCTTATCTCAAAAACAAAAACCCAAACCACAAAAACAAGACTAACTTGCAAGCCACATGAGGGGAATTCAACTTCACCTTAATTCAAAGACACCAGAGTAATTAACAAATATTTAAAGAATTTTTCAATGGTTATAGAATTCTGGATTGATAGGTTTTTAAAAATTCTTTTATGACTTCAAAAGTGTCACTTTGTTTCTTGCTTGCATGGTTTCTGATATGAAGTCAGCTCCCATTCTTAACCTTGTTTCTTGTTTGATAATGCCTTTTTTCCTCTAGCTTCCTCAAGATGTTTCTCTTTTGAGAAAAATGAGAGATTTTCAGTTTTTGTGTTGATTTCTCTTTGTCTCTGGTTTTCAGCAATTTGAACACATTCCATATCATTTTAAGAGTTCTTCATCGGGGGTCACTGGACACATGTGTCACAATTAACAAAGGGGAACACATTCTCCAAATGTGTTCTGTTTCCCCAGGAAGCCAGCTGGAAATACAACAAAATGCCTCTCCCTCTCCTTTAGCAAAACACGTGTCAGAGCAATGCAAGATTTGATTGGGACTGCTTTGCTTCGTTAACTATTACAGTGAGCTGTTTTTCTTTCTAGTAACAACCCAGTAATAGTTATTAAATTATTTGGAGCTAAATAAGTGTAATGGTAATTTTCATTTAAATTTTGCTATATGGTAGCTTAGAGCATCTTACCTGTACACAGTTCCAAACGCAGAAAACCTAAATGAAATTAACATATATGTATCATTACAGGTTCTCAAAACCATCATAAATGGCTCTATTTTACATCTCTGAGCTCTTCTATGATGTTTCCTTTAACTATGTCACAAGACCTAAGACTATGGTTTGAAATATATACCTACTATAAAAAAGTAAGCCTTCCTGCTAGTGTCAATAGATAAAAACAAAACAGACAAAACGACAACCAAAAATGCCCAGAAATCCTTTTTTTTTTTTTGAGATGGAGTCTCACTCTGTCACCCAGGCTGGAGTGCAGTGGCATGATCTCAGCTCACTGCAACCTCCACCTCCCAGGTTCAAGCAGTTCTCCTACCTCAGCCTCCTGAGTAGCTGGGACTACAAGTGCCCACCACCATGCCTGGCTATTTTTTGTGTGTATTTTTATAGATACAGGGTTTCACTGTGTTAGCCAGGATGGTCTCGATCTCCTGATCTCGTGATCTTCCCGCCTCGGCCTCCCAAAGTGCTGGAAACCCTATTTTTAAATGCATATTTGCATTCCTAATAACCCGTGAATACATACATCTATTGATCTATGTATTCATGCATCTCTATATGTAAATGTCTGTCCAAAATGCCACTATATATATATTTATATGTTAAACTTTTATTTTAAGTTTGGGTTACATGGGCAGGTTTGTTATATAGGTAAACGCGTGTCATAGGGGTTTGTTGTACAGATTATGTCATCACTCAGGTATTAAGCCTAGTAACCAATAGTTATTTTTTGTACCCCTTTCCCTCCTCCCACCCTCCAATCTCAGGTAGGCCCCAGTGTGTGTCGTTCCCCTCTATGTATCCATGTGTTCTCATCATTTAACTCCCACTTGTAGGTGAGAAGATGCGGTATTTTGTTTTCAGTTCCTCTGTTAGTTTGCTAAGGATAATGGCCTCCAGCTTCATCATGTTCCTGAAAAGGACATGATCTCATTCTTTTTTATAGTTGCATAGTATTCTACTATTCCACGGTGTATATATACCACAATATGTTAAATTTTAGTTTATTACAACTTATATGCAACATACAATGGCAAGATGAATCAGATCAGAAGATAAACAATTGAGTGTGAAAAGACAGCAGATTTTTCCTGTTTTATTCTCTGCAGATGTAATTTTCAACGAGAATACATTTTATTGCATTAGTAGTGCTTTTAGAAGAGACATCTATATGATGCCCAGGCTGGTCTTGAACTCCTGGTCTTAAGCGATGCTCCCTCCTAAGCTTCCCAAAGTGGTAAATTGTACTTCCTGAGGGCATAGAAAAGAGACATAGAAGCAAGTGAAATTGGTATTACCCTTTTTTCTGTTATTCTTTATTAGTAAAACAAATTAGGTTTTTCTTTCCTTGGTTTTCATGTGTCCAAGCTCCTTTCTCTTTCATTTCACATGTGCACAAATATAATAGCATACTTTTGAACATCAAAAGTTGAATGATGAAAGATCATTCCTTAGCCCAAATCAACCTGCAGATGACTTTTTTTTTATTCCTCTGAGAGTTAGCCTGTGGAAAGGTGGCAGGGTTTCACTGCATTGTCCCCTGCAGATGGAAAGGTCAATGACAACATGTGTAATTGCTTCAGTCCTGATTTTCTACCTACACTTACTGCTGTGGGGTTGTTTCACCTGACCAAGGCAGTTTCTGTGGCAGCAGGTCCTAGCTCTCTCGACCAGGTCCACTGACAAAGCCACTTTGCTGAGTGGCCAATTTACTGATGACTATTTTGTTAAATTTGTTTCTGCTAACTATTTAAGGTTGACTAATTTTCTTGTGTCATAGTCTCAGCAAATGTGAAGGGATGGCTGGTCTATCTCTGACCTGGCTTTCTGCTTTGACAGATGGAAGCTAAAAGAAAAAAGGAAAAACTGATGGTGCAAAAGATAAACATATTTATATGAGTTTATTCTTGAATAAAATGATTTATTTTTAAAATATATTCTTGATATGATTTGGCTGTGTCCCCACCCAAATCTCATCTTAACTTGTAGTTCCCATAATCCCCATGTGTTGTGGGAAGGACCCAGTAGGAGGTAATTGAATCATGGGGGCGGTTACTTCCATGCTGCTGTTCTCATAATAGTGAGTGAGTTCTCATGAGAACTGATGGTTTTATAAGGGGCTTTTCCCCCGTTTGCTCAGCACTTCTCCTTTCTGCCATCATGTGAAGGAGGACATGTTTGCTTCCCCTTCTGCCATGATTTTAAGTTTCCTGAGGCCTCCCCAGCCATGCTGAACTGTGAGTCAATTAAACCTCCCTTTTACAAATTACCCAGTCTCGGGTATGCCTTTATTAGCAGCGTGAGAACGGACTAATACAATTCTTCCGATGAATATATTCTTCTCATTGATAAATGCTTGATGTAAATGCTTAATTTTTCCTCTAGCTGCCTTCGAGATTTTTCTCATTGTCTGTGGTTTTCAGCAGTTCGGATACCTTACATATCGTTTTTATGAATCTTCCACAGAAATCAGTGGACACATGTGGCACAAAGAACATGTGAATTAAGAACGCACTCCTGAATAACATATTTTACATATATGTTATTGAGTATATTCTTAAATATAAATAATTTCTTGTGAATATATTTGGATTAATAAAAATATATTAATAAATATTAACTCATGCATATTCTTCTTACTCAAAAATATGTTCTTATAAATATATTAATTACTCCCTCTCTCTTCCCCCTAGTCTCCAAAGGTAACATCAGGGGCCAGAACAGAGACACAGAAATGTTCCTTAAAATGTCAAAATGAAATATTATCTATTAAAACAGAAGAATTAAAATAAACAAGAGAAGTTAGGTATTGGTCATCTGATGTTTGTAACCTCCAGCTTTCCCAGGAAACTTGGTTGGACCCTTTTCTTGTGTTCAGCTGTCAGAAGCTAAATGTTCCCTTCCTCTCTCTCTTTGCAGTCTGTTCGTGACATTTGGTATTCCTAATATGCCCACTTGGAGGAAATTGCCAGCTTAGGCCAACCAGGGTGAAATGCATGCGCTTATAAACTCATAAGCCCAATAATAATTTTCAGAAGGAGGCACTCATTCACTTCGGCTTATAAACTTGCAAATCTGTAGATTCATTAGTCTATCACTTACATGGAAAGACAAAATTTATATTTAATTGTTGAGACTTGACTTGAAAATTTTCAAGAATATCAACATTTGTTTTTGTTGTGCACCTCTCTGTCAAAAGATAAATACGTAGTACAGAATCATTATTTATTTATTAATAATATACTCTGCATGGTCTTACATTTCATAGTTCATGCATTGTTTATTCATTAATATAACCTGTTAACGTTAATATGCACCACATTACCAAGAGCCCTTGTCAACTCCTCAGAAGCCACTAACTCCCAAGGTAACTATGACAACAAATCTCTTAATGCTTAAAGTGTAACAAAAAGATTGTGTGATTTGGATGTTAATTCAAATATTTCCCATACAACCCCATACAGCCACTTTGGAAGGGAAGTGGTTTCTCACAAAACTAAGTATACTGTCACTATAAGATCCAGTAATTGTGTCTTGGCATTTAACCAAAGGTATGGAAAACTGAGGTCAACACAAAAATCTGCACATTGATGTTTATAGGAGTTTTATTCATAATTGCGCAAAGGTGGAAGCAACTTCAGTAAGTGAATGGATAAACAAACTCTGGTACACTCATACAATAGAATGTTATTAAGTGATAAAAAGGTACACACTATTTAACTATGAGAAGACATGGAAAAAAAAAAAAAACCTTAAAAGCCCATCGCTAAGTGAAAGAAGCCGATCTGAAAAGACTACATACTGTGTAAGCCGAACTATATGACATTCTTTAAAAGGCAGAACGATGAAGACAATGAAAAGTACAGTTGTTGCCAGGGATTTGCAGGGAGAAGGAGGGATCAATAGGTGGAGCACAGGGGACTTTTAAGGCAGTGAAACCATTCTGTAAAATGTCATGGTGGATATATGACATTACACATTTTCCAAACCCATAGAATATACAACACAAACAGTGCACCTTAATGAAACTGTTAATTTTAGTTAATAATAATAATGTATCAATATTGGCTCATTAATTGTAACAAATACACCAGACGAATGCAAGATATCTTAATAATAGGCATGATGAGCTAAGGAGGGTTTAAGGAACTCTCTGTATTGTCTGCTCAATTTTCTTGTAAATGTAAAACTGCCTCCCAAAATAATGTCTTTTTATTAAAGGAAAACATGCTGCTACCACTATGTGCTTAGTGTCCTATGCATTTCAAGTCTGGGTGGTATGTCTAGCAGAAATATATTAACATGTCCCAGGCTGATGGTACTGAATAAAGGATTTAGATGGCCATAAAAAGTGGATTTTGTATAATGGATTTCTGAGTTGATAAGAAAGCAGTATGAGTATATCACCATAATACAAAACTTAGTGATTTGAAATAAGGCAAACATATCATCCATTTTGCCAGTGTAATGATAACACACACGTTGTATAAACAGATATTGGAACATCAGTTTGTCACTGGGTGTTCAGGATGTAGAATATACATCAACTTAAATTTTCACATTTAGTAAAGCTCTAGCTTCCTCTTATGCTAGCTCCATAAATAAGACAAATTTTTTCTCTCATCCTCTCTGATGGCCAATGCCGGCCTAAACTCTTGCCTGTTAGGAATTAGTACACATCTCCTAGCTCAGAGACACCTACACGAGTGACTCTTGGCCAGTGGAACCTGGTTCACTGTGCCCTCCAGTGTGGGGCCAGGCATTGTTCGTGATCTGCCCGTCTCGGCCTCTCAAAGTGTTGGGATTACAGGCGTGAGCCACCGCGTCCGGCCCCATCTGTTATTATTCAAGGTATTTTAGTGCATCACCGCACACACGATTTTGGGTCTTGCCATTATTTTGTTATCCCAGTACTTGAAAAAGAGAGACATTCTGACTGGCATTAACTCAACATTTTGTGTGATGGACTATTACATATGGCTCGGAACGCATTTTTGTTTGCTATATAGAAATGATCTTCTCTTCCGTGTGATAAATAATACAGCTAAAAGTCTCAGAATTAATCAAACTTACCATCAATTAATTTCAAATTTTTGACTAGCTTCCTTAAGTATTTAAATTATTATGATTTGCAAAATAACCTTGAAAGTCATTCAGTCAAAATGGCTTTGAAATAAAATCATCATATGTTAAAGTAAGAAATTATATCCTACATAATAAGGACAATAGATACATTAAAATAGTCTCATCAAGTATTTGTCTTTAGTTAGTAGTTATTTCTCCAAGAAAGTATTAACTTCAATTTTGAACAAAGTTTTCTTTCTTTTTCTGGCAGTATCAGCCTTTTGCCAAGCTGAACACAAGAGGATGAAAAGAAAATCTGGGCTCGAATGTGCAATTTCATATTTTCTGTTAAGGCAATTTACAACATATCATAAAGCTGCATTAATAAACAGATGTTCCACAGTCTGCAGAATATAAAATAAATGTCTTGAATAAGCTACGAAGACCAAGGCACTTTTTGGAGCAGATTTTTTTGTCTTAAAGTTTTATCTCATGCAAACACTGCATATAATATGAACTTATATAATCAATGCTTTTAGCAATATGTCATAGTAGAACTGAGGCCCAGTTGTTAGCTGAAATCTATATAAATATAGGTATGTAGAATAGTTAGGAAATATAAATGTTAGCATATGCTCTTTATTGTTGATGATATCAATAATTCTTTCATGAACTCAGAAAAGTTTTTTCTCTTTATATTCAAAATGAAGTTTTCTAATTACTCTCTTTTTCACAGGGTTCTCCCCCTCTGCAAATTATACCCATTACAGCTATTTCTTTTAAGTAAATATCTCCTTCAAGTCAGTCTTAGTTTCTCCAACACCTAGACAATGCCTGGCACATGTAAAGGCATTCAGAATACAAGTAAATGCATGCATAAAATGAATAAATATATTTAGAAGATATTTATAGACATGTCATAGGAATTTGGGGGCCAAGAAGAGGGATTCTAGCTTTTGGGTAGATACAATTGCAGATAATAACAATAACTTACAAGGTGCCTAAAATATCAAGTTACCGTTCTAAATGTGTTAGATCTATTGGTTCATATAGTGCTTGCAAAAGCCCTTGAAGTATACTTTTATTATACTTACCATTATATAAATAGAGAAACTAAGGCAGGGAGAGGTTATGTTGTTCCAGGTTCACGTGACAATTCAATGGCAGAGCTTGATTCAAATTTCATACTTTTAACTTACGTACAATTTTGCCTACCATCAAGACATTCTTCTTGCTGAATGGAACAAGGCCCTCAAAGGGAATTTATGGAGTACTGTTACACATAAATAACTCTGAATATAAGTAATTCTTCTGTGGAATGATTTCATCTTATATTCTCAGAGAATGACACATTTTATGTCAAATAAGTACAGGAGAAAGAAAATGATTTTATAAATGTTACTAACACTATCCTAACAAATGGAAGAGATATGATAAACTTTACATTCTAATTTGAAATTTATGAAAATCATACACAAAACACTGTTTTGAGTAGACTCTATCTCTTATTTTTGTGAGGCCAAAATATCTAATACATTTATTTTATGAAATAAATACTTAGGAATTATTTTATTTGTTGTTGTAAGGAATTATGCCTGCTGAAATGGACAAAGCATTGTGATTAGTGTTGGGTGTTTTGGCTCAGACTAACCTAAAGGGAACAAAGAGGAACAACCAGATGGTGAAACGGAGGTTCCTCCATCCTCTGATAGCTTCACTACCATTGCATTTTAGTAAATCCTTAAATCATATACTATGATTATGACAACTTAATTTTTTTTTGTAATTGATGATGGAGTTGATAAGTTCTTGTATACCGTTGCTTGTTAGATCAGGAGAGACTCAGGACAGACATCAGGAAGAATTTTCTAGCTGGGGTGTTGTTAATCACTTGCCCACAGTAAAAAAAGCCTGCAGAACAGTCTTTTTTTGATGAGAGTTAAGGCAATAAGACAATTAATAGTCTAACCCAGTAACAGCTGAATTGGCCAGATATCCTTTAAGGCTTCTCAGAAGCCTCCTCAGCACATGAACTTGAGCTCTTACATAATTTTCTCATTCATAGTGACTGCATTGTGCTTGCAATCTCATGTCCTATTATTTAAGGTACTTAGTGCATCACTGCATACATGACCTTAGGTCTTGCCATTATTTTGTAATCCCTGTACTGGAAGAAGAGAGACATTCTGACTGGCATTAACTCAACATTTTGTGTGATGAACTATTACATGTGGCTCAGAATGCATTTTTGCCTGCTATACAGAAATGATCTGTTAATTCTATGTGATAAACAATACTGCTAAAAATCTCAGAATTAATCAAACTTACCATCAATTAATTTCAAATGTTCACTAATTATTAGCGAGAGAGGAGTGTTGAATTATCTAATCATAATTGTACATTTGTTTATTTCTTCTTTTAGTTCAATTAATGTTTGCCTTTTGCCAAATTTGGGTAATTTTTCCTGTTAGGTTTTCAAAATTTTTTCAGCACTGCACTCCTTTTCCTTTTCTCCTTCTGAGACTCAGATGACATGTATGTTGGAACTTTAGTTATTGTTCCTCAAGTCTCTAAGGCTCTAATCAAGACTTTTTCATCTTTCTTTCTCTCTATTGTTCAGATTAGATAATTTCTGTTGATTTATAGTCGTGATAACAGATCCTTACCTCTTTAGTTTTATTGTAATAAAAAGCTTACTTAGAATTTTGTATGTCAGTTATTGGATTTTTTGGTCCTAATATATTCATTTTGTTCCTTTTTACATCTTCTATTTATTTTCTGATACTTCTAGTTTTCCATTGGTATAAAAGTGTTTGCGGCCGGGCATGGTGGCTCACGTCTGTAATCCCGGCACTTTGGGAGGCCGAGGAGGGCAGATCATGGGGTCAAGAGATCGAGACCATCTTGGCCAACATGGTGAAACCCCTTCTCTACTAAAAATACAGAAATTAGCTGGACGTGGTGGCGCATGCCTGTAGTTCTAGCTACTTGGGAGGCTGAGGCAGGAGAATCGTTTGAACCCGGGAGGCCGAGGTTGCAGTGAGCCTAGATTGCGCCACTGCACTGTAGCCTGGGTGACAGAGTGAGACGCGGTCTCAAGAAAAAAAAAAAGTGTTTGCGACCACTTGTTGGAACATTTTTATAAAAGCTGCTTTAAAATCCTTGTGATGTAATTCAAATTTATTTTTCTTCTCAGTATTGGTAGCTACTTAGTACTGACTGTCTTTTCTCATGTGGGGTGCAGTTTATCTGGTTTTTTTTGTAATTTTGGATTGTGTCATGGACATTAAGTTTTGAGGCTCTGGGTCTTCATAAAATATTAGGCGGATTGATGCTATTTTTGTTTTAGAAGCAATTGACCTTGTCATATTCAAGCTGCAAGTTCCAATCTCTGTTTTGTGAGCTGTGGTTCCAACAATCAGTTGAGTTTTCAAAGCCTTTCCAGTTTGCTTCAGATATGTCCTGGTGGTCAGTGTGGAACTCGGATGATAATCTGCTAGCTTCGTTCTCAAAATCTTTGGTTAACTAATTAGGAGCAGATCCACACACATGCAGCTTGGGGATGCGCTCAGTCCATTAAAAACTTTATGGTGTCACTTTCTCATACTCCTTCCTCTCCACAGTGTCTCCAATATTTTCTGGTTCCCTGGAGCTCCTCTTTTCTGTTTTCTGGCCAGAATGCTGGGTCTTTGATTACGGTACTCTGCTACAGTGTTTCATGGCTGCACCCATGTTTGGAGCCAGGTGACAGGTGGCAAAATGAGAAAAGACTTCAAAAAGTTTGCATCACCCTCTTGGGATCATAACTGCACCAACTGGAGAGGAAGATGCCCTCGCCTCAGGGTTTTGTTTCTCCTAGGCACCGCCTGCTGCTGCCACCACAGGAATTCTTGGGGGCCAGATCACAAGGGCTCAGAGAAAACAAACAACAACAAAACGGAGGGATTTCTGCATTCCCTCAGAGTAATAAGAGTCCTCTTTCCCGCCCAAACTTGTAGGGCTTATCCTTGATCTCAGCAATTGCTGAGAAACTGTTTCACCCTTTACATGGAAAACAGACTTTCTTGTTTGCCTCATCCCTACCAGTGTCTTTCTGCCTACACCTAAGTTCAATTACCAGCTGCCCTTTATCATTGAACTTAATGCTTTCTTCTCATAGTAGAATTAAGAGGAAAGTAAAATATTTTTTGTACCTATATCTTTATTATATTTAGACAAATCACAGAGTGAGAGAGTAGGGGTTTCAAGAAAAATAGGAGAGAGACAAAGGAGAGAGAAAGAACTGCTTGTGGAAATACAGAATATCCCACATTTTCAATGTGGAAAGTGTATGAGGGTCTGAAAGAAAATACTCAGTTTTTTTTTGTCCTGTAAGAGGCAGCATTGACAAATGTGTACCAGAGTTTGGGTACATTTGAGCCAGTTCTTCAGAATCGTGGGGTGGGTAATAGAACAAAATTATTTACACCTAATTCTAGGCAGATAAGTGTGCTTCAAGGAAAGGCAAGGGCCTGGCTAGATTCTAGATGTTTTTAAACTGGAGGCCAGAGACAGCTTTAGGGAGTCTATATACAGGCACAGATTTATTTCTTTTATATTCTTCTTGCTCTTTGAAAACGGTCTTTATGCAAATACACACTATATAACCAAAGTTTCTCTTTGTTCCAGGCAGCAGTAGGGCTTATGGGAGCCATTGTACAGTGACAGGAACATACCAGGACACTAAGAATAGCGTCATGTCATAAGGACTCAGAGCAGGTGGACCCTGCTGTGATGCACAAAGGTGAGGGTGCAGCTGCCCAGGACACACTCATGCATGTTTGTGTGGACCATGGAAGATGGCAGGGGAAGAGCTGTCAGGTTGCTGGGGCAGAGGGTGCGCATGAGTACTCGCCTGTAAGTCATGTTGTAGAATCACCTCTCACAGCCGCTGTATCTTCCCACCAGCATCACCAGATAACTCCTTTATCGTCACTTCAGTAATGCTTGATTTTGTCTGACTTTTTTATGTTTACCAGTTCAGATAAAGAGAATTGCACTCTCATCATTGCTATAATGTACACTTTTTTGACTACTAATGAGTCTGAGAATCTTTAGATACATTTGTTAGTCATTAATGTTTTTTCTCTCTCTTTTTTTCTGTTTTTTGAGATGGAGTCTTACTCTGTCGCCAGGCTGGAGTGCAGTGGCATGATCTCGGCTCACTGCAACCTCTGCTTCCTGGGTTTAAGTGATTCTCCTGCCTCAGCCTCCCGAGTAGCTGGGGCTACAGGTGCCCCCCACCACACCCAGCTAATTTTTGTATGTTTAGTAGAGACGGGGTTTCACCATGTTGGCCAGGCTGGTCTCAAACTCCTGACCTCGTGATCTGTCTGCCTCGGCCTCCCAGAGTGCTGGGATTACAGGCGTGAGCCACCGCGCCCGGCCATGTTTTCTCTTCTTAATCTGTTTGTACTTTCATTTACTTTTTCTTTCTTTTTTAATAAGAGGTTTTTATTTTGGATATCAATCTTTATATCTTCAATGATGTTGTGAATATCTTTTTGTTCCCACTAGCTTTTCTTACAAACTTTTATTCCTAGTGTCTTGTTGCACAGAAATTTTATTTTATTATGGTCAATTTTGTCAGCCTTTGTCTTTATAATTTGTATGGGGTTCTTTTCTTGTTTGTTTTTGATTTGTATAAAAGTGATGTTTTTACCCTAAAGTCAAAAGTTAAAATTTAATGTTTTCTTCCTATTTCAGAGGACCATGCAAGATATGATAAAGATCTATGTCACTGAATTTTGTTTCTGTATTTGTATCTCAGCTTCCCAGAAATAAAAAAGAATTCTAACATTCATACTTTCAGTATTTTATGTGAGAGGTTTTGTTGTCAAAATCAAGTCTGAGAGCAATGTTTATTGGGGCCTTTCATTGGAGTCACCAAGCGATAAAGGGGACATTGTCTTCAACAATAACCCTATAATAAACACGTTTTGGACAATAAATATATGACAATTTCTTAAAAGCAATTTCTTGGGCAATCAAGACAATATGGCTTCAGTATGGAGTTATATGATGGTCTGGATTAATCCAGTATTAAATCTCTGGTTATTACAGAAATCAGTGGAGCCTATTCTTCCAAATAATCCTTAAATATTACTTATCTCAACTGAGATTTTGGTGAAAATTTAGCTTTAGAGCTTTTATTGACCTGCCAATGACCTGAAGTTAATATTATTCTTTTCCACTGAATGAAGACAAACCACCTTATAAAAATTAACCCAGAAGGCTGTAGAGGTGATTTGTTTTCTTTATTTCTGATGACAGTTAAATAGCTTGACTAAAACTCTTGGTTCCCTAAATGGCTTTTCTGCTTTTGGATGGTGGTAGCCTGGGGAACGTAAGGAAAGCAGATATCTCCCAAAACTGGGAATAAAATACATGGTTTATTCCAATACATTCCAGGAAACCCCATTTCCAAGCTCTTTAAACTAAAACATTACTGTGAACATGTTGGCCTAAAATTTTTCAGAGCCAGAAATTTTCAGAGCAATAGCTGCCAGTTGCCACCATGATGTTAGGAAATTCTCATTAATTCTTACATGATGGTTGTCTACATAGAGATGAAACACTTGACTAAATTGTCAGCAGCACAATTGTATCCATACAGACAGATAGAACAAATCCAATGCTGTGATGTAGTTTAAATGTGCACATGTTAACTGATTAGAGAGCTAGAAAATGGAGGGTATTTTTAGCAGCATATGATAAATATATTTCTGACTGTTGAATATTGTTTAACTGCTTTGTTCTAGTTACTGGGGATTATATAGTAGGAAGTAATACAGACAGATGTCACGTCCTGATGGGCCTTGTATTTCAGGGAAGAAATGGGATTTTGTTGGCGCCAAGACCTGATTGCTTTGCCAGTTACCCTCACCCCTGGCTCACGAGGAAAGTGTATTAAGGAGATTCTCGAGGAACCACATGAGTTTTAATATCATAAGCTTCTGCCCTGAATTGAAAGGTAATTTTTTGTTGAGGAAGGCTGAGCCACACTTATCCACAATGCCTCCTTTGGCATAGACCCCAGATAACCCAAAGTGTGTTCTCTCAAACAGATGGAGAAAACTAGAGGATAGAAAATATCAAGAGTGTTACTGAGGATGCTGCCAGCTGAACCACCATTTATGTTTTTCATAGAACAAAACTTCAAGGAGTTTAAGTAGTCAGAGTGTGGCCAGCCTTTCCTTGGAAGTATTTATGCAAGGAAGATGTTTTATATTCTGGAAGAGGGCATATGTGAAGGGCATTTCAGAATGATGTAAGGTGTATGCACAGGTCATGTGATGGAGTGGTCTGGGGTAGCAGGACATGTGACAGGCCTCGAAGTTCGCCACTACAAGCATGGAGCCCATATCCACAACATCTTCAAGCGCAGAAGCTGGGCTGTGGGGTGGAGTAGTTCACGCCAAAAATCACAACTTCGTTTGGAAAATGAGAGGGAAGAGAAACTTCCCTAAAGAGAATTAGAAAAAGTAAAACTCGTGAGGTAAAGCTGTATAGATTTGAAATAATAAATCCTTACAATTTTTACTTCCACTGGTCGATGGCAGAGTTTCTTAATCTTAGCAGTGTTAACCTTTTGAGTCAGATAATTTTTAATTCTTCTTGCAGAGGAGAAGGGAGGGTACAGGCTGTTCTGTGCAAGATGGCATGCTTAGCAGCATCCATAGCCTGTACTCTCTAAGTGCCAGTAGCAACCCCCAGTTTTGACAACCCAAGATGTCTCCAGACATTTTCTTCCCTGGAGGCAAAAACAGCCCTGGTTGGGAAGCACTGGTTTATGAATAGAAATAAAACTGTAGTGTTCTCCAGCCAAACAAACAACAACAAAATTAAACAGCATATTTTCAATTTATTGCCTTCCTTGGCTAGTACATAGCTCACTATAATTAAAGCTTCCCATCAGAAATTCTTCCTCGGTTAAAAACAAAAAAAACTATCAAGAGAAGCAATTTAGTAAGCTGGGTTTTAGGAATATGCTCTTAATTTTGCCTAAAATGTGGCATGCAAGGGGAGAGTTATGTAATCATTTTAAGTAAGTGTTTCATTAAAAAAAAAAAACCCTTAAAATGGTTTGATTCAAAAATACTGAAATCTCTTATCATAGAAGCATAAATCTGAATAGTTTGGTTATTTAAATATAAGTTACTGTGAAATCATCAAGGAACATAGCTAATCGAACCTACCATTGTAGCCTACATCATCCTGTGCATTTCACAAAATCCTAATGAAAAACTACATGAAGCTCAAAGTATAGATAAACATATCAGTGTTGACAACCGTGAAACCACGCTATCCAAAGGCTACGAGCTCTGAGGAATTCCTGTTAGCTACAGCACATGTAGGATCAATGAAGGAAGAAAATGAAGGCTCCTGGGAGACAAAATTATGCCAGGACAAAGCTGAAGAAGAGCAACACCTGTCGGAAATGTCCTAAGATAAATTTCGAAAGCTGCCAGGCTTGGAGGTGGGGCAGGCACCGCCGGAAGAGACACCTTCCCTTTGGGGCTTTCTTTGCCTGTGACAAGAACAGCACCTGATGCCCTTAGAATAGTTCCTGGAACATCTGAATAAATATCTGCGAAATGGCTGAATCAGGGGCGGGGACTGGCGTTCAGGTGGGGGCCCCCTCAATAGTATGACCACAACGGAGGCTCCACCTGGCAGGGAGCTGCTGACTCCTGATGCTACAGGAGCTCGTCTTTGTATTAGGAGGTCCTGTTCTACTTCCAGTTGCAAATATTACATATATTTGTGTGTGTGAGTGCATATATATTAATATATATACACCACCGCCCAACAAGTTCCCCTTGCCCCCTGCCTAGACAGAGCTGATTTATCAAGACAGGGGAATTGCAATAGAGAAAGAGTCATTCTTGCACAGCCAGCTGGGCGGGAGACTGGAGTTTTATTATTGCTCAAATCAGTCTCCCCGAGCGTTTGGGATCAGAGTTTTTAAGGGTAATATGGCAGAGGCTCAGGAAGCGGGGAGTGCTGATTGGTCACGTTGGAGATAGAATCACAGGGGGATCAAAGTGAGGTTTTCTTGCTGCCTTCTGTTCCTGGGTGGGATCGCAGAACTGGCTGAGCCACATTACCGGTTTGGGTGGTGTTGATGGCAGTGGCCCATCTGGACAGGCTGCTGCCAAGATGCCGGCTGCAGCAGGGGAGGCGCCGCAGGGCGGCGCACTTTGTGGAGCCGGCGGGAGCCCTGGCCGCTTCTGAGCTGCTGGGGAGGGAGCCCTGCAGTCCCAGGCGCAAGGGCAGCTGCCCAGCCATGGCTTCGGACCCGGGCATCCCTGTCCTCTCGGGAGGGGGTTGGGGGCGGTGGGGAGGGGGCTGGGGGCGGTGGGGAGAGGGGGGTGCATGGGAAGCCTATATTAGACCAAATAAATATCATGATATATTTTGTGTATTTATTTTTTAACCCATACCAATCCAAGCTAGATTTTCTTACTGATTTAGTTACTTTGCTTGTTTATTAATCTCATTATGTAGAATATATTTTGGAAGTTGCCTTAATAGTTTTTAGAGGAAAACAGGTTAAAAATAAATAAATACGTAAAAGATGCCAGTTTTCCTTATATGTATATGTAATGGTGTAAAAAAAGCACTAAATAAAATGATCAGTATAGTGGCTAGGGAAATAATTAAAGTTAGGTTTTTGGGCCAGGCGAGGTGGCTCACGCCTGTAATCCCAGCACTGTGGGAGGCCGAGGCTGGTGGATCACCTGAGGTCAGGAGTTCAAGACCAGCCTGGCCAACATAGTGAAACCCCGTCTCTACTAAAAATACCAAAATTAGCTGGGTGTGGTGGCAGGTGCCTGTAATCCCAGCTACTCAGGAGGCTGAGGCAGGAGAATCGCTTGAACCTGGGAGGCAGAGGTTGCAGTGAGCAGAGATTGCACCATTGCACTCCAGCCTGGGTGACAGAACGAGACTCTGTCTCAAATAAATAAATAAATAAATAAATAAATAAATAAATAAATAAATAAAATAAAGTTAGGTTTTGAAGGAATTGAGATCATAAAAATGTATTTCAGAAAAGGATGCAGCAAATATCTTTTGAAAATGCAAGGGCAGAGGTATTTCTGGCAGAAGTAATGATATGAGACATTTACTACAATATCGCTTCTACTTATGCTCCTGTAGTTTACTAAAGGCAATTATTGTTTCATTGGAAATGTAATTAATGATCATGACCCTCAGTACCACAGATTGGGAACCACGAGGCTGGCCCTGGGCTGACTGTGGTTGGACTCACTCAGGAACCGGCTTGGCTGGTGTCTTTTAAATAACTGCTGCCAGCTACTGCCAGAAGTTGCAGGATGGGAGGAAGGGAAGCTGACTGGCCCAGCTGATCCATAAACAGCCCTTTAATAGCACTGCAGTTGCTTGTGATGCATGCCTGGGATTCTAGGTTTGTGTCTTTCTTTTGTGAGGGGTTTCTATCTCACCCTCAACTCTGTTCTTTGCATCGTTTGGGCTACACATCCCAGTGTGTTCCCATCTCCTGCCCTCTAGTCTGCTGAAGGTTTTGCATCCTGTTCTCAGCATGGACACGTATCTTCTCTTTTGTCCATCACATGGTCATTTCAATAGGATGTTGGTAGAATAGGAAGAAGATGCACATGTGTTTAACTAATCATTTTTAATTAGAAAGCCAGAGGTTGAATTGAAAAACAACTCATATTGAAACTGCATTTGCAATAATTATAACAGTGAGAAAATTATGGCAGTGGGGAAGATCTAATATAGCCAACTTCCCTCTTATATTTTACCTTCATGTTGCCTTAATTATTACCAGGCTTAGGATGGGCTAGCTTTGGGAGACATGTAGTTTACAGTTTAAATGATAATAGTCCTTCTCCAAAACTCAATCACCTTTATAAAGCTAATGAGAGACCACCAGGCTAGGAGGAGAAGAGCCTGAATTCGGCAAAGGGTTAGACATAAAAGACTGCCAGCCATTATTCCAGAGGTCACGAGATATGCAACTTTTCCAATTACTCCTGCAGATAACATCACTACTGTAGAACCCAAGATTGGCCTTTTGAGATAGCCTTTCAGATATTTTGCGTGTTTGGCACCAATTATGGTGCCTTCTGAACCCACCAACTGCTCATGTGGCCCCATGCAGAAGCAGAAGCCATTCAGCACAGAGCAGGATCTTTTCCCATGTTAAGATTGCACCCCCAAAACAATCAGCAGAAAGCAGCCATTGCCTAGCCACCCTCATCACTTCCCCCAAATTACCTTTGAAAGAACCCTAACCTACAAGCTTTTGATGAGTTTGATTTAATAACTCCACCTCCTGTGTGGTGTGGCTGGCTTCACATCAATTAAATTCTTCCTTTACTGCAATGCCCTGGTCTCTGTGAATTGATTTTTTTTGTGCAGCAGGCGGGAAGAACCCATCAGGAGGTTACAGTATGGTTGTTGAACTTTTCGATTTATGGAGTTTTAAAATATAATTACCAATATGTGTCTTCATAAAATACTTTTACACTATGACACTATACAATATTTTTATTAGATCTTATTTGTTATTCATGATTTTTCATCCTAATTTTTAAAACTATGATTTTTATTAGACTTTTATTTACAATTTTTATTATGAAAATTTTCAAACATACATGGAAGTAGAGACAAAAGTAATAAAACCCAATGTATTCCTTACACTCTACTTCAATAATTATAAATATATGGAGTAGTCTTAAAATTTCATATATATCCCTCCCACAAACACACACTCAAGCATAATTTTAGCACAAACCCCAGACATCATATTATATCATTTTAAAATATATAGCTATGTATCTTTAAGGGAAAGGACTTTTAAAATACATGATAGTAGTACCATTAACACAACTAAATAAATTAACAGTAATTCCTTAATATCATCTAATGTTTGGTGTTCAGGTTTTCATGATTGTCTCACAGATCTCTTTTTCAGTGAGAATCCAAACAAGTCCACGCACACTGCATTTGGTTGACAGAGGTTTTTGACAGAGCAGGAGCATCGCCATCATGGACAAGTACCACCATTCTAAAGTTCCCCTTGATCCACCTAAAAACCACCTAAATCCAAAGGGCATCAGCCTAATGGCTAAGGTCAGCATGACCATAAACCACAAATGACATGTCCAACCAGAAACATTCCAACCATAGGATAAACCCCTCCCTGACCAGAGACATGCCAGCCCCCAGATAACCTCCCCTCCAGCTGGAGAGATGTCAGCCCCAAGAAAACCTCCCCTCTGACCATAGACATTCCAAACCCGCCATGAGCTTCTCCCCCATACAGAAACATTCCAAGCCTGTGATAAGCTCTCTCACCAATAAATACTCTTACTCTGGAAGAGAGAGTGTTCCTAACCGAAATCGGCCAGAAGCCCCTCTCAGGTTTATTCTCCAAAATAAACCTGTCTTTGACTCTTAAGCCACTTTTCATGTTTCTTTCCTCTTTCTTTAACTTTAACAGTTTTAATTGATCACAATATCTTCTTCCCACCTGACTCCATGTATTTGCAGAAAAAACTAGGTCATTCGCCTGTAGAATTTCCCACATTTTGTGTTTGGCTTAGTGCAGCCTTATGGTATAATTTAACACATATAAACTGATAGTTAGAACAAGAGGTTGATTTAAGTTCTTTTAGTTTTATATTCTTTTGGCAAGAATACTTCAAAGGTGGTGCAGTGTGCTTCCTATTGAATCATATTCAGAGGCATGTAATGTTGGATTTTCTTTCTCTTATCAGACTTCTTAATTTTAGTTGTTCCAGTACATAAAAATTAGTATGTTATCATGGTCTGTGATTACTAATCATTTAAGAGTTTATGGGGATGTAAGTTACTTGCTCCTGCTTTGCTGTCTGCCACGAGTAAAAGCCCCCTGAAGACTCCCCAGAAGCAGATGCTGCCATGCTTCCTGTACAGCCTGTGGAACGTCATTGAAATTATAAGACTATCATTCAAATGGAAGCATTACAGTTCTTTGGAAACATTATTATTTCAAAATGAAGGAGAATGATACAGATACACTGGCTGAGGTGTTTTGAGGTGCATTGAAAAGTTCCAAGCTGTTACTTACCTTAACATGTTCTTGAGGTACCATGGCATGGATTAAAAGGAAATTTGGTAAGTGGCCTCCATTTAAACGACTTACTAGGGAAGCTATGTGAAATTATTTAAAAGGGTAAGGGGATCAAATAGTACTTAGCCTTCATGCAAAAGTTGTACAGAAGTCATATGGAAATGAAAAAAGGTTTTTTTTGCCCTCCCCCTTGTGTATATCTTATGGGCAGTGGATGGAAGAAAATAAAATAACAAATGAAATGCGATGGTTGTTCTGAACAAGGGTCTCAACCAAGTGCATTTATTGGCATAGGAAATAGTGACCAAGAAATGCAGCAGCTAAACTTGGAAGGAAAGAACTATTGCACAGCCAAAACATTGTACATATCTGATTTAGACAAGCAAAAGCACTTCATGTTGTCTGTAAAGGTGTTCTATGGCAACAGTGATGACATTGGTGTGTTCCTCAGCAAGTCGTCCAAACCTTCCAAAAAGAAGCAGTCATTGAAAAATGCTGACTTATGCATTGCCTCAGGAAAAAAGGTGGCTCTGTTTAATCGACTACTATCCCAGACAGTTAGTACCAGATACTTGCACGTAGAAAGAGGTAATTTTCATGCTAGTTCACAGCAATGGGGAGCATTTTACATTATTCTTGGATGATGATGGATCAGAAGGAGAAGAATTCACAGTCTGAGATGGCTACATTCATTATGGACAAACAGTCAAACTTGTGTGCTCAGTTACTGGCATGGCACTCCCAAGATTGATAATTAGGAAAGTTGATAAGCAGACCACATTATTGGATGCAGATGATCCTGTGTCACAACTCCATAAATGTGCATTTGACCTTGAGGATACAGAAAGAAAGTACTTATGCCTTTCTCAAGAAAGAATAATTCAATTTCAGGCCACTCCATGCCCAAAAGAACCAAATAAAGAGAAGATAAATGATGGTGCTTCCTGGGCAATCATTAGCACACATAAGGCGAAGCATACATTTTATGAGAGAGTGGGCCCTGTCCTTGCCCTGGTCATGCCTCCGCCTGTCGTAGAGAGCCTTAAGTTGAATGGCGGTGGGGACGAACCAATGCTTGAACTTACAGGACAGAATTTCACTCCAAATTTACAAGTGTGGTTTGGGGATGTAGAAGCTGAAGCTATGTACAGGTGTGGAGAGAGTATGCTCGTGTTGTCCCAGACGTTTCTGCATTCTGAGAAGGTTGGAGATAGGTCCAGCAACCAATACAGGTTTCAGTAACTTTGGTCCGAAATGATGGAATCATATATTCCACCAGCCTTACCTTTACCTACACACCAGAAGCAGGGCCGCGGCCACATTGCAGTGTAGCAGGTGCCATCCTTCAAGCCAGTTCAAGCCACGTGCCCCCTAATGAATTAAACACAAACAGCGACGGAAGTTACACAAACGCCAGCACAAATTCAACCAGTGTCACATCATCTACACCAACAGTGGTATCCTAACTACCGTCTTTTTGCTAAGACTTAAACGGACTTGAGTGCAGCAAAAAGTTGACAAAAAAGGAGAAAAAAATGAACAGTCTTTTGTGGTTTATTGGGAAAACTTTTCACACCAGGTGATACTATTCTAAAACCCCACTATCTATCTGCAAGTGCTGATTTGAAATGCAGAAGCCACAGTAAAACAAAAAAACATCAAAATGTAAAAACTTGGAAATTAATTTTTTCAGCTGTTTTGTTGGTTGGTTGGTTGGTTGGTTGGTTGGTTGGTTGGTTTTTGTTTGGTTTTGTTTAAGTGGGCAAGAAGTAAATAATGTGGCTGGAATACAAGTTGAACAAACTAGAAGACATAAATCTAACATAGTTTTTATGGACCAAGTAACTTGTATATTGTATAAGCTTTAGTAAAAGGTACATTTTCACATATTCACCATACCCTTTTTTATATCATGGTATTATAGTACATCTTGTCACCAAAGAGGTTGTTCTCTTCCCCACTCACCTTTGAGCTTTTGCTTTAAAATACATTCAGGTTCCAAGCCTGGCCATGCTTGCTTAATCTAATTATCATGTTCTTCCAAGTTTTTTTTTGGTCCGAGGCTAGAGCTTTTTTTTTTTTTTCCAGCTGAAGTCTTACGACTTTTCGTGAGTCAAAATTGTTTGGATTTCAGCAAGTCAAATCTTGTGAAGGCCTACATTTTTTTTTAAGATTATGTGAAGTCTGTGCAAAAGCTTTAAAAAGCTGCCTCTGCCTTGCCTGCAACACATGCAATGTATGTTAACTTAGTCTCTCTTCGCAGACACTGTTGGTAGTTATTTCTGCATTTTCCTTTTTTTAAAAAAAAGTATTTCTAGTGGTTATCCAAGAGGTTCTAACATTCACATGCAATTTGGTGTGGCCATTTTGCCATAAATGAGTTAATAGCGCAAAACATGTTGATATTTGAAGTGTTCTCTCTCCTTTTCCCATAACGTAAATACATTATGTGTGTTCCAGGATTTGTTCAGGTTTTTCCCCGCTCCTGATCTTGTACATAACTTGTATTACGTATAAGTTAAACATTTCATTTTGAACTTGGAATGTTCCCAGTGATTTCATCCAGCAGAGTATTTTCTGCCTTGTTGGCAAGTGACAAAAAATATCATGAGAAGCATCTGCTACCAGTTGGGAGATGGTGCCCTTATGGTAGAATGAGGAAGATCTCAGCAAAAGCATGTTTTATTAACTTTACTTTTTGGGGGTGTTGGAGGGGGTAGCCTAGGCCAGAACATCATTGTAATCTTAAAACATAAGATGCTTTTATTAGATGATCAACTAAAATAGCTGGAAGACAGTACTTTAGAAACAGATAGTTGTAAGATTATGAAATGCAAATGTAACTTGTGTTTTTATTTTTCTTTTCCCTGCCTTTTTTGTTTGTTTTCTCTTCTCCAGTACTGAGCATCTCCACAAATGTCTCCTAACTCAGAAAATGTTTCTTTTCCTTTCAGCTGAGATTTGGTTGCATTCAGGGTTGTACATTGGCCTTGCATGCGAAACTCGGCAGTTGTACCTTGCTTTCATTCCTGAACTTCGCTTAGCTTTTGTTCGGATTCTTCGAAATTGCAGCAGACTCTTTGGGCTACATTTAGTACAAGAACCACGTGCATAATATGATACGGCACAGTCTAGTAATACAATCATCCTTCTTAGAGTAAAAACTACCTCTAGATTGTGGTAAGCTTTTACTGTCCCATAAAACAGGAGCCACGGTAATTTATGAATGCAAAACTGTAACTTCCTGCAGTGTTTCCATACAGAACATTGTCTTTCTGGTTTCCTGGGCTATTTTGAAAAAATTTTCATTAATAGACTTTTCAGAAATTATTATTAGTAGCATTTTTTTCCAGCTTTGCTGTTTTCATCACTCATTCTTTGCTCAGACTCCAGCATTCAGTACCGTGTTGGTCCAGATGTAGGTTTATATGCTCATTTTTAGCTTATTTCTTGTACCTTGCAGCACACTCTACGCACTCAGCCCTTAAGGGGTTTACTTTACAAACTGTGTGCCTGTAAGATGTATTAGCAATAAGATAGAAAATTGAGCAAGTTTATACCATAATTTTGTAGAAAAAAAGAATCTGCTCAATTCCATATTTCATCCATGAAAAACTTGCAATACGAGCAGTTTCAAGGAATAAGAAGAAAAAAAAAGAGTTTATAGGTCGGCCAGGTCTGATGGCTCACGCTCGTAATCCCAGCACTTTGGGAGGCCGAGGCCAGCGGATCACTTGAGGTCAGTTCGAGACCAGCCTGGCTGACATGGTGGAACCCCTGTCTCTACTAAAAACAAAAACAAAAACAAAAATTAGCCAGGTGTGGTGGTGTGTGCCTGTAGTCCTAGCTACTCGAGAGCCTGAGGCATGAGAATTGCTTGAACCTGGGAGGTGGAGGTTGCAGTAAGCCGAACTTGTGCCACTGCACTCCAGCCTGGGTGACAGAGTGACACTCGGTCTCAAAAAAAAAAAAATTTTTATGGGTCAATTGTGGTTTATTTATTTCTGCAAAATGTCCATTCCCATCTTTAGCCCACTTTTAATTGGGTGATTTTTTTTAGTAAGAAAAACTTTATATATTAAACATTGATTTTTAAATTATTTACTATATCCAATCAACAGCTTTCTTTAAGAACTCTCTAATGCAAAATAGAAGAGTGGTAGAACCTGAGTACAAAAAGGAAAAAATTCTAATTAATTAAATGTATCTTTGATTAACAGAAAAATAATATAAGCTACAATAATATTGTTATTTCAGAATTCCCCAGTTACAAAGTAACAGTAAGAAGATGGTGATCTACAAAACTTTACTTGTGACATAATTCTAGTGTAGTTTATTTAAGAAATATAAAAGAAAATGATTGGATTACAAATAAGATTAATATAATGATACATCAGTATTATGAATATCTTTCTTACATAAATATTTTCTGAAGACATGGATAATAAAAAAGGTAGCACAATAAAATTATACAGGGACAACTTATTAAAATAAATAAACATGCTCAGTTCATTGTAATGAAATAAAATTTGTTTTCTGAAAACAAATGGAAAGAAAATAATAACCATGTTAGCCCAGAGAAAGGAATACACTTGAATTATAGATGAACAAGGGCATATACTGTATATGACTATCATGTAACCATGAAGAATAGGTCAAGATAAGGGAAAAGCAGCAGAAACATCAGTTCTCAGGCAGTGGTGCCTGAGATTATTACAGTGTGCCCAATTAGTTTATGTCACTTTTAAAAAGTCATTTAAATAAATGTATCTGTGGAAGAAAAAATATCTGAACATCAGGTATGGTCTGATCCACAATGATCCAACGATCTGTCATAACTCATTCTAGGAGTATTCTTATACAGTTTGCAAGAGAAATTACATGTGGAGCTACAGAGGAACATTTATCAAAATTCATAAAGCTATTTAACCTGAATGTTACGTAGTACATAGTGACCATCATACAATAGTAAAAATACAATATCTGATACTATTTTTACAAGCTATGACGTAAACAATTTAGGCTCTTCTTAAAAAAATAAAAGAAATTTGATTACAACTTTATTTCAAGCATTTTCAGTTAGACATAGGTTTATATATTTTCACTCAAAATGGCAAAGGACCTTCTGTAGGTAAAATATATTCTGTGTTTAAATGCTTGCATTCTGAAGTATGATTTGCCATGTACGAGTTCAGGTAGGACAATGAAGCTGCTGTAGCAAAATCCTGGCTGATGATGAAGACTTGGACACTTTTCATCTTTCATGCAGCCATTCAATATTTTGTGTATTTACATGAAGGAGAAAAAAGGGGAGGATACAAAGAGAGCCAGTATTCTTTTTGGATGAAACAGCCTAATTCCAGAGAATGAGCTTTCCATTTTGAACTCAAAGACTGTGGTCCCCAAATTGAATTCTTACCAGTCCAAGGAGCTGCCTTTGGCCTGTGAGGCAACACTTGATGATGAAGTGAGCTAGGAAAGTGTTAACTGAACTACAGAGATGGCTGCGTGCAAAACAAGTTTCCAAACATGCTCAGGCCCACGCAGAGGTGAGGTGCAGCCAGAACTATTAGTTAAAAACAAATGCCCTCACGGATGCAGACATAGAGCTTGTAGGAAGAGTCACCATTCTGGGGGCCTGGTTGTAGTTTCCAATACCTGCCTTCACCACTCTCTGACTCTTCTATTTTTCTGCTTTGTTTAATTTGAGTCCAAGGATTTCATTAGCAACTTTCTGAAAATACAGGAAGACAGTCTCCTGTCTTGGCTGAGATAAAGTGGCTACTAAAACCATTTTCCTGGCAAAACCATAAGTGTTTTTCAGGTTTTACTGTTTCCATGTGCTCCAAATAAATTTTATTGCTCACCAAGGCAACCAGTAGCAAAGCTTCTGACTCTTCGCTCACTTTCTTCAGTACAATGTACCCATCTTTTTTTTTTTTTTTTTTTGAGATGGAGTCTCGCTGTCGCCCAGGCTGGAGTGCAGTGGCGCGATCTCGGCCCACTGCAAGCTCCGCCTCCCGGGGTTCACACCATTCTCCTGCCTCAGCCTCCCGAGTAGCTGGGACTACAGGCCCCCGCCACCACGCCCGGCTAATTTTTTTTTGTATTTTTAGTAGAGACAGGGTTTCACCGTGTTCGCCAGAATGGTCTCGATCTCCTGATCTCGTGATCCGCCCGCCTCGGCCTACCAAAGTGCTGGGATGACAGACATGAGCCACCGCGCCTGGCTGTACCAATCTTTTAAATTCTCCAAGCTTTGCTAATTTGTAACAAGAGGATTCTCTGTGGTCCATAGATAAATGCATCCACCTTCTTGCCGCCTATTGTACGCACCCCCTACATCCCATACTTGAAGAGTAACATTCAAGTTTCCTGGCAATGTTATCCTGCTCAAAAAATATGTATATATATTCATCACTATAGTTTAGTTTTATTGGTTCCCAAAAGTTTCTTGAGCAAAACTCATAGGTCTTCCAGGAGGTGCTGCTTCAAGCATGACAAATTTCAGTTGCCATTCTTGATTTCTTTCTTGGGGTCTGATGGAGTTCAGTGTGGTGCTCAGGCTAGCTCCCCAGGCAGAGGGAGAAGGAAAGGAGAGCGCCTCCGTAGGTGGGGAGAGAAGGAAGGGAGCAGGACCCTGCCCTGGGATCTGGGTGCCCTGGAGAGATCAGGGGAAACTAGTTGATGATACTTATGTTAAATGAACCAGTACTTTCACATGCTTTTAAGTAAAAATGAAATTTAACTGGAAGGACCCAAATCAAACATGGTATCTCTTGAGTTATCTCTCACTATGGATGACAAAGGCTGTTGTCAAAGTTGATTTCACTCAATTAACTTGATGGACATTAAACAACCTGTATAAGCCCAGAAAATGAGGGTTCTGGGAGATCTGTTATTACAGAAATGCAGAGGTGTCCTAACTCGTGTCATGTGAAGGTGGCCATGATGCAGATAAGGACATGGCTATGAATGTGCAGGCTATAGTTTTCCCTGACCTGGGTCCATGACCGTGCCTTGAGGGTGGAAGAAACACCAGAGCGCCCTCAGATAAGATGGCTGGAGAGCATGACAAAAACCATGAAAGTAAGACCAGACCGTGCATGCAAGATGAATGCTGGCATCTGGCTGAATAGAGGAATTTGAACAAACAAAATCATTTTTCTGCAAGCTCTTCACATAATTCTACTCCACCTGGAGCTTCATGACTGAAATGAGTGGTTATCTATATTCAGGTCTAGTCAGACGTGCTGATTAATTATAGTTGATCAGCATACATATATCATGCTTTCTTACATATTTAATCTATCCCATGTATACATAAGATTTTGTAGGATAAATTATTTATTAGCATTAAAGTGTAAAATTTGCTTGATAACTATAAAATGCCTTAAATACACTAGTATGAGTTTTAAAATTATACCAAAATGACCAATGTGAAGGGTAGTGTTACTATGCTGGGTATGTCCTGCCACTGCGTCCTTTAGGAGATTTCTATAGCATCACAATGAAGTCCACCTGTGTGTGAGAGAGAGGCTTGCGCTCACCTTCCTTACCAGCAATGCAAAAGTGCTCAGGGGACCCAGCTTGGTCTGAGTACGAAAACAAACCTAAGAGGCTTCAAAGCCAGCTCTCCTGTAGTATGTGCTCACATCCCTGAAAGAAAAGCAAGAAAATCCCAAACTCCAGATTTTCTAATATAAGCTCTAGTGAAATACTTACCTTTCTTGAGTCAAAGCAGAAGCAACTGCTAACTAGAAATGTCAGCCTGCTGCCTCAGAGAATTTCTATGGCTGTTCTGGGGTGAAGAGGGTGGAGTCTTTGGCTTTCTTACCACAGGTGATCAGGTAAGAAGGAACCACAGCATCCTCTATGAAGAAATGCTGTCCGAGGTGATACCTGGAATCCAAAGCTTTTCTAAAGGAGACCTGGGAGGGGACTCCACACCCATCAACCAATAGCAGCCCAGCCCAAGGGCTGCAAATTTGCTTCTTTCTGACACCCAGTGGAGAAACAATCACCAGCTCTTTTCCAGTGAGTCCAGCACTGTCTGCAATTGGATTTGCTTTAGTTGCAGGGATTGTAAGCCAGTTGATGTGTGTGTGTGTGTGTGTGTGTGTGTGTGTGTGTGTGTGTGTGTGTGAAGCTTGAGGCACCTGGTGTTAGTTTTTCTATCCAGTTGTATTAAAATTGGCATGAAATTTCTTATCTAGAATTTCAAGCCTCCAGCTGTGAGCCTTATTCAGCTATCATTGATTTCATCTCCAAAAAAGATAAAACCAGGAAATAGAATGTGTGTGAGAGAGTCCAAATGATTGTTTCTTTTACCCTTAACTAACTCCCTTTCCTTAGCCCCTCTCCTGCACCTACTGGTTTTCTGAGGTTTATTCCCGCAGTCTTTAGTAAAATAATTTTAAATGTGCGAATGGGGTGACCAGGTTAGAGACTCCCAGGGAAGAACCATGCTATGTATCCCACTAATAAGTTCTCCTTATGGAGCTAAAGTCTTTCACTGGAGCTGTTTCCAGTGTAACTTGATGTAGCATTTGGGATAGTCTCATCGTGGAGCACCACCACTATCCCAGTGGGCCGATACCTGTTTCTTCTAAGAGGACAATCAGGTAAGTTTTCCCAAAGCGCCTTTGGGAAATCGTGCCGTTCAGAGAGCTGCGTTGTGCTCATGCATCTAGAAGGTCTTGCTGTTCATGCACTGACTCTTCTAACTCCATGTCCTCCATTCCTGGGTGTTTGCCAGCAGGTTGGAATGATGGCTCACTGAAAACTGAAGATGACATGGAAGATGAAAAGGGAGATGAGAAAGTCCTGCCCATTAATGAGAGGAAGATGGGCACAATGCGGTGACCTCACAGGTCTCCAGGCCTCAGCTCAGCTCTGATGAAGAGGCTCATGTCATACAGTCTCTTCAGATGATCACAGAGAAAAACGTGGTGACAGAGAGGCAGATGTTTTACTGTTTCCACTTCTGGAACTTGTTGCAGGGTATGAAGAGGGTCAGCACCAGAGAAGATATAGAATATCATGTCCGCAATAGATGAAGCCATCAAAGGATGGCTTCACTTCACCACCAGGCAGCACTGACCAACTTACGGCAATAAATCCCGCAGACCAGAATTACACCCATCAAATGCCTCACTCACCATATGTCAGCCCAGAAGACTCTTGCAGTGGTGAGCCAGTCTCTTTATCCACCAAGCCTGACCCAGCAGGCAGGAGAGGCCCAGTACCAAGATGATCATCCACAATAACCTGCACACTGCATCGAGGACGGAGGCCAGCCCTAACAGCCCGCGGCCCTCAGGAGGGAGAGGCAGTAAAGGGCTCCTTCTCTCTTTGTCCTGATGAATGGGCATTGCACTAGAAAGATGAACATTAGGAGCAGATTATCAGAGCCTTGGTCCAGCCACCATCTCCTCTATGATGACCCAGATGGGCAAACCTTCTGAGGGCAAAGGTCCAACCAACATCCTGGGTGGCTGGCATTTTCTGAATTTCTATAGCTCATCACAAAGTGCAGCAAGAATGGGAGTATTTGGTGCACTTTGATTTTGCAGTTGCCTCTGATGGCCAAGAGACTTAGGGCCAAAGATTTCTCCCGACCCACGATCCAGGTCATATTTCTGCGGCACAGCTGTGACCCTCATCCCAACTACAGCCACTGGCACAATATCCAGTAATATTTGCAAATGATTATGCTAACATCAGGTTATAAAAGCTTGTTGTTTTTAATTTGAGTTATATTTTTAAAATACAAAATGTCTTGTTTTTTATGTTTGTGTTCATGTGGTACATTTTCCAGGATAAGATGGGCTGTGCGGTAATGGCAAATAAACCCTCCAAGTCTCAGTGGCTGGCCTCCTCTAAGTTTATTTCTTGCTCACAGGGTCTGCCGTGAGACCAGAGATTCTACAGAGCAACTCCCCTTCCACCCCTGCCCAGGAAATAGAACATGTGCGTAACTGAGAGACAAATCATGTAGAAAAACAAGGTGATTTTCCTAGAGAAGGACTGAAGTGCTTTGCTAGTATTAGTCACTATGACAAAAAGTAGAGAAGAACTATTCTGTTTCTTTAATCATCTAAGAGACAGACCATTCACTTGGAGTGAAATATTTAAACTATTTCTTCATCTCTTGAATTAAAAGACCTTAATAATATGAATTCATAACTCGAATATAGATAATAAACCCAGCACAGTTTGGCACAACAATTTTTATTTCCTCTTGAAATACCAAGGCTATTTTCTCATGTAAATTATATACGTTTCTATATACATATTTTCAAGGACTGAAATTAATTTTAACATCTTTAAAACACCAAATAGTATCATATTTCCTGTAAAATGGCTGGTTACCTCAAAGGCAGCATTTTAACATCCTTAGCTGCTTTAAAAGATTATCAGCAGTCTATAGTAAATATTACATGAGACATTTAAAGAATGGTGCTTCATTTCATCATTTAAAAATCTTAGTCAAGAAGAGACAAGAACAATTTCTTAGAATCAAAGCTCCTTCACTGGGAAATCATTCATCTTGGAAAAAGCAGAAATATTTTGGCTAATAAAAAACATTTTATTACTAAATTAACATTGAAGAAGTTGTAAAAATCTCATTTTGCTTTAATTTGTTAAAGTCAAAGCCTTATATGCACCTTTGATTTCTATAAAATTTTAACTATTTGAAAATAAAGTATTAAGCATCAAAAGTAAATAGAAAAAATTAAAAATAAAATGAAAACCAATGAAATGGAACACAGACCAATAATAAAATCTGTGCTGCCAAAAGCTGATGCTTTGAAAAGATTATTAAAAACTGCAAAACACCTAGCAAAAGGAAAACATCACCAATATCAAGAATATAAAATGGGACATTATTATAGACCCTAGAGATACTACAAGGATTATAATAATATGTATGCTGAACAACTTTAAGGCAAGAAATTTGACAATTTAAATGAAAAGCATGAATTTCAATTTCTTATGGTATAGTTACTTGCAACTCTGGAGAGCCCACATAATTCATCTAGTAGCCATCTTCTAGCTTTGTGGGTTCTCTGTAAAAAAGAAACTGGAAGAGTCACAGTAAACAAACGACATATACTTTCCACCCTTACATGAGTAGAGAATAATCTGCTAGAGCAAATGGGCTGGGTGTGGTGGCTCACACCTATATTCCCAGCACTTTGGGAGTCTGAGGCGGGTGGATCACCTGAGGTCAGGAGTTCGAGATCAGCCTGTTCAATATGGTGAACCCCCATCTCTACGAAAAATACAAAAATTAGCCTGGCGTGGTGGCAGGCACCTGTAATCCCAGCTACTCGGGAGGCTGAGGCAGGAGAATTGCTTGAACCCAGGAGGCAGAAGTTGCAGTGAGCCGAGATGGACCCATTGCAATCCAGCCTGCAAAACAAGAGGGAAACTCTGTTTCAAAAGAAAGAAAAAAAGAAAAGAAAAGAGAAAAGAAAACAAAAAGAATCTCCAAATGCTCAAATAAACTCTATATAATTTAAATGTGTTTTAATTTTCTCTTACTGTTAGGAAATTGATATTTTAAGAGAAAACAACTAGTCAGTGATTGTTTCCAGGAGAACTCCATTTTGTGGAAGCTCCTCTGAGACGCATCTAAACCCTTTAGGGGAGCTCCTGGGAGAGCCTGAGCTTCTCCTGATTCAGGTCCCCTTTGTGTGTTCACTAAGAGTCTTCTCTTTGCCGAGTTTTGTAACAAGGTTGTTGAAAATGGAAGAGTATTTTCAGCCGTGAGCTTACTTTGCAACATTCAGCTTTCTTTAGAGTTTCAGGAAGTTCGTAATTGTCTTATAATGAACAAGAACTTTCCTATAAGAAGAACTACAAAGCATGCCATTCAGAAAATAGGTAATAGACATTAATCTCAGGAATACTAAATATTTTAGGAAGTCTCTAGGTTCAGAAAAACCCAGGAGCCCTGTGGACTGAATGCCAACCTCCCCTCCCTCCCCCCTGCCCCCCCCGACCCCCAACCCCTCTCACATCCGCAGTGAGCTCCCTGCTTTCAGGCTCAACCTTCTAAAGTTCTCTTTCCTGGCTGGATGAGTCTCCCATGAAGCCCCTTCCATCTCTCCACTGCTCAGAGCTCTCCAGAACTCACACTGTGAGATCTCCAGAACTCACATTGTGATTTAAATCCAGGGTTTACTTACTAGTCTTTACTTACTAGTCAAAGCCCCACATGCTTGCCCTGAAATCCCTCTAGTTATTTAGTGTTGGAAACTCACCACTAGGACCATTATTTTGCTATTAGATCTATTTTTGGGGGAAATGCCTAATGTCAGGATTTTTTTTTTTTTTGAAACAGAGTCTCGCTCAGTCACCAGGCTGGAGTGCAGTGGCGCGATCTCGGCTCACTGCAACCTTCACCTCCCGGGTTCAAGTGATTCTCCTGCCTCAGCCTCCCGAGTAGCTAGGACTACAGGCACGTGCCACTATGCCCAACTGATTATTGTATTTTTAGTAGAGACGGGGTTTCACCATGTTGGCCAGGATGGTCTCGATTTCTTGACCTCGTGATCCGCCCGCTTCAGCCTCCCAAAGTGCTGGGATTATAGGCGTGAGCCCCTGTGCCAGACCAATGTCAGGATTTTTTGGCTTACCTTTACTGACCTGGTCTAATCCCCACAGATGAATATTTATTGATTTATTTATTTCTCTTTTTGGAGGAAGGAAGCCCTGTTGTCAGCATCCTAAAAGCTAGAAATGAGAAAAGCTGCGAATCTCAATTTTCAGTGTGTACTTTGTTTTCAATATTGTACCCTTTCCTCAATTGGTCTCCGTGGTCTCCAGTCCAGAGACTCTCTGTTTTATCCTCTATGGAAAATGAACATTTTGTCCTTTATACAGAAATGGACATGTGGGGCCGTCTTCAACCACTCCTAAAACACTAAAACAGACATTCAATAAATCCTCCTGTTTCCAGCCCCACTTAATCCTCCAAGTTACATAACTGCAGATTGCAGCGCTCACATAGGAAACCCTGTGAGCAGCCTCCTTTGAAGCTGGTCATCCCTCCGGCCTTATTCCCCCACACTCTCAACGGTATTGTAACTAAGGACCTCAGTTTTAAAAATATACTTCAGTCATCCACTCGCTTTATCTTCCTTCCTGCCGCTCTCACACCTTGATTAAAACCATTTTTTCCTTCCACCCATCCATGTCTTGACTCTGGCTTTTAGGTGGCAAGCTGCTGGACTTAGGACCAGATACAGTATCGTATGTCATGAGCCTTTGGGGAGCTCTTCAGTTTACAACTTGGTGGCTCAAAGATTTCCTTTCTACTGCTTTAGACAGCTTTTTGGGGGGATGTGTTTTCCGAAATCAGCTGCTCTTTCCGTATAGAACCATACATTGAGATTACATGAGTGGCTGTGATGTCTAATGTAACAGAACATTTGATTCTCTTTGTCTATATTGTTTATAGAAAAACATCTCATTGATATGTTTCTTTCCCCTTCCATCTCTGTTACTGTACTAACCATTACCAGATCTTTAACAATAAATTTAGGATTTTAAAATATATTTGTGGCAGGAATTACTGTCTGCCTCTAGAGGTAACATTTGAGTGAACTGTCTTATTGTCATTGGCAACTTCCTTCAGATCATGCCACTGCATTACAGACTGGTCGACAAGAGTAAGACTGTCTTAAGAAAAAAATTAAAAAGATTAAAAAAAAAAAGAAACCTTTCTAAGGTAATAATTGGAGACACTGGCAAAGACATGTGACAGTGTTTTCACTTTCTTTTATTACAATGTCAAAGTATAGAAATACCTAAATATTGAACCTTGGAGAGATGATTGAATTGTACAATATTCCTATGTATGGCTGATTGATTCAGTTAGAACTTTACTCACATATTGAACTTCAAAATTTTCACTCCCCCGACCAATGCTTTTTAGCCTTCTATTTTACTTTGCTTCTTAACACTCATCACTGTCTAATATACTATATTTTTCTTGTTTATGGTCTGCCTTTCCCAGAATAGAATCTTCATGAAGGCAGAGATTTTTGTTTTTATTTCGTTCATTCATCTAGCTCCAGTAATTAGAAAACTATACTGCACATGGTAACAACTCGCTAAATATATGTTGAATGAGTCATCAATGCTTTTCTCTTAACTTAATGACATGGGAAAATGTCCATAAAGTATACAATAAAATATGCAGACTCAGAACATAAAAAATATACACACATTCTCACACACACATACACACGACAAAATCTTGACTTCAGGGTGTTCTGCTGAACTTCAGTTGTTCTTGACTTCCACATGTGGAGGTGGAGCATCTTTGTTAAGTTTATAAGTAATATGATTTTCTTTGTTTATGAAATGCCAGGTTATATGTTTCCTTTGTCCAGTTTTGTATTCGTTTCTCTTCTGATTTGTATGAATTCTTCATATTCCATAAACACTACTCCTTTTTCATAGGTGTTGCAAATCATCTTCTTTCCGCTAATGGCTTCTATTCCCTTTTTATAAAGTCTTTTGATAAACTAAAATGTTAATATTATTGTTGTAAAATGAACCAATGTTTTACTTCATAGTTTTGTGTTTTGGGTATGAAATCCTTGTCCACTGGAAGGTATAAACTATTTCTTCATATTTTCTGAATTTTAAAGTTTTTTATTTTTTATTTTAACTCATTAGAACTTACATTTGTTTTTTTGTGTCCAGTGACAGGTAGGGGTCCAATTTTATATTTTTTCTCATCTGTAACTAATGTCCCAGTACCATTAATATTTAGAGTTGCCCATTCTTTCCCAATGGACCTGAAGCAGAACATCTCATGCACTGGGTTCCCTTATAATTTGGCTATTTCTACATTTTGAGCTGTTTGTCTTTCTTATATAACTCTGTAGTCATGTAAGTAGTCTTATGTATGGAGTCTCCCTTCTGATGGAGTTACCTACCCCACTGATATTTTTTTAGGCTTTCTCTTTACTAATAAATATATTTACAAATACAAACCACCTTCTAAAGAATGCTTTAGTTGCACCAAACATATACAAGCTTTGATATGTAGTGTTTTTATTGCCATTCTGTTCTAAACATAACTTCATTTTCTTATTTCAAATGTATTTTTAAATTTCACAAAGTATAGTATATTGTGATCTTCTGGTTAACAAAATCTATGTTGTCAAATTGTGGTCTAAGAATATGATCATATTAATTATTATTATTACTTTTTTTTTTTTGAGATGGAGTCTCACTCTATTGCCAGGCTGGAGTGCAATGGCACCATCTCAGCTCACTGCAACCTCTCCCTCCTGGGTTCAAGCAATTCTCCTGCCTCAGCCTCCTGAGTAGCTGGGATTACAGGCACGTGTCACCACACCCAGCTAATTTTTGTATTTTTAGTAGAGACAGGGTTTCACCATGTTGGCCAGGATGGTCTCGATTTCCTGACCTCGTGTTCTGACCACCTAGCCCTCCCAAAGTTCTGGGATTACAGGCGTGAGCCACTGCGCCTGGCCCGATGATTATTATTTATTGATACTTGCTGTGGCCTAGTACACTGCAATTTTTATAAGTGTTTCATATCAACTTGAAAGGAAAGCATTTTTTGTCATTTTTGAGTATTATGGTCTGTTAATACCCTTTTCATAAAATTTTCATAAATAGTGTTTTCAAATATCCTTATTTTGAGATTTTGTTTTTGGTTTATTGCTCAACCAGTATCTGAGGGAAGTATTATTTAATTGTGGCAAAATACAACATAAAATGACAATTTTAACCATTTTTAAATACAATTCAGTAGTGTTAAGTGTATTCGCATTCAGAACACAACCAGTCTCCACAAGTTTTTCATCTTGTGAAACAGAAACTACATCCATTAAATAACTTGTCCCCTCCCCACAGTGAGTGAGGTATTTTAAACTGTCTCTCTGGAATATCTGTTCACTTATCATGATTTTGTCAACTTTTACATCATATGTATTGAGGCTTTTTATATGCATAAAGGTGAATTTTATTATTACTTCTTACTTTATAATAATGTATTATTTTAAGCATTTTAAGTACTTACAAAGCTGATTATGTATATTTAGTCTCTAAATACCTGCAAGGAATAAGTATAGTGCTTTATTTCTAAGGAGAAATTTCTGTTTTCACCTAGAGAATAGCAAAGTTCCCTATCCTTTCTCTCTTTAAAAAAATCAGTCTACTGTTTGAATGTGCCCTATTTTCTATGTGCTGGCTGGGTGCAGGCATCTGTATTCCCATTCATTATATCACAAAGGTCAAAGGCTTTATCTCTGATATCTGCAATGCTATCAACACCCAACTCTAAATACAGAGAATGGAAAGGAGAATTGTTATGTATTTTCTAGTGTCTCTAGGTGTTTCTAATTACAAAAGTTGGGTGTTGTTGTTAAGTTATCTTAGCCAGCCACCTTGATGAATTGGGATGTCTCCATGTCATAATATTAACCTGAAAAAATACAGTTTGTCGATAGCATTTACTCAGTGATTCCAGAAATGTGTACTGTGAGCCCACCATGCACATGCTTATGGAAGTCCATAAATCATTCTGTCCACTTGAAGAATCATGGTTCATATATTTGGGAAGAGGGCTATATTTCTAAAGCAGGTTACCACAACCCGCAGGCAGGACGCAGAAACTCTGAACCTCTGAACTGAGCAGAAAATAAGTGCTTCCAGGGAGGGAGGAATAAGAAAGGCTAACATGTATGTAACATGTGTCCCATGTTCACTTTGGGGTGGAGACATAGCATTTAAGTGTATTTCAGTTAGGCCTTGTACATCAAAAGGTGAAGTGGAGGATACGAAGGCACTTAGTACACAGCCTTTGTAGACCAGCCAGAGCCATGCTGTGGTGGGTGGTCTCTTATTGGGAAGGAATGCTGGTCAGTTTCTGTGTTAAAGCTGCAAGAGGGAGGACAAGTGTCAGGCAGTTGGCTGAAATCACTGGGCAAGACTTTTGAAAGGGCTGGTTTCTGCCTTCACCCTTAGGGAAGAAAGCCTAATGGTCGTTAGCCATTCTCTAGAGAAACCTTAAAAACCTCTGGTCCCTTTGACCAAGAGGAAGTCTGTTCAGTCAAGTGGGGGGCTTAGGATTCTCTTTATTTCTCAATATATAAGTCCTTCACTCATGGCCTAGCATGATCTAGCAAGGATTCAGTGTGATTCCACTAGTGACAATTTATTTAGTCCTAAGTCCATGTGTATGGACATGTAAATACATGGAAGGCTGCTCAGCAAAATATTGGTTCTGTTTATCTTTGATATCTTGGTGGTAGTTTCTTGGTGGTAGGTAGCATCTTCTTCATGTCTTTCCAAATTATTTTTATTTTGGGGGTTGTATATAAAGAGAATATTATAAGCAAACCAAAAAATGCAAATAGTATATATATAAAATGAAAAATAATTCAAAATATTTAATTGCTCATGATATCATAAAATGGTAGACTTTCTCAGCGAGTGCATATATTTCCTTAACATGAAGTTATTAACATATGGTCAGCATTTTCATTTCAACTTAATGTAGTTTATAGTTCTCACTATCTAAATTGACATTTACTTTAAAATATAGAAAAAGACTTCTCAGATGATAATAATGGTAAGGTTAATTATACATAATGGTCCCATCCTTTTTTTCCGTGAACCAATATGTGAAATCAATGACTATCTTCTCTATGAAAGTTTTAGGTGGCTTAGACAATGTTCATGCTTTATTAGAGTCTCATCTCGAATGGGCAAGAGCCTGCATTGCTTAGGTTAGTACTGGACATAGTGAAGTGATCCATGCCACATAGATGCATAAATCATTTCGAACAGCTGGGCAGTTTCAGGAGGCCAATTAATCAAGTGGAAACCAGGTGTAGAGGCCAATGAAAAGCTTCCCCTTTGCCCTCTGAAGGTTTGCTGAAAAATCAACTCAAAAAAGGTAAATTAACAGGAGAAATGGCATGCAAATTTATTAGTGTGCACAAAGAGAATCACAGAGTGATTGTCAATACCTTAGTGGGGTTCAGAAGCCTGTATACCATGCTGCAGAAGGGGAATCTCAGAGAAAGCCTGGCTGTTTATTTCACCTATATAGATTTTCTGCACAGATGCAAATCTACTCCACGAAAGTCAGCTTTTCTGCACTATTCCTGTCTGCTGGCCCTCTGAATAGCCACCTCAAGACACATCAAAGAACTATGTTTTGGGGTGAAATATTTTTGATTTCCTTTAGCAAAGGAAAGGTTTGTATACCTTTACTCCTTTTGTATATCAGGCACCCAGCCACTCGCTATTGCTTACCTGCACCCCATCCTCATTCCAGAGAGTTATTTCCTGCTTGTATATGTTTCCTTGAACTGCCATAACAAAGTACCATAGACTAGGTGGCCTAAACCACAGAAATTTATTTTCTCACGGTTCAGCAGGCTGGGAAGTCCAAAGTTATGTTGTTTTGGCCAGTTGGTTTCTGGTGAGGGATCTCTTCCTGGCTTGTAGATGGTCACCTTCTAGCTGTGTTCTCACATGGCCTTCTTTAACTGTATGTATAAGGAGAGAGAAAGAGAGAGAGAGGGAGAGAGAACTTCAACCATCTGACCCCTGCTTTGAGCCTCATACTTTGCATATGAGTCCCAAATCCATATGCACATTAATAAATGGATATGCCTTTAAAAAATCTGCCTATAATCAGTTTGTTTTATAGGCTTCATAAAAAGCCACCAATCCTATCAGATTAGGGGCCCAACCTAATCTGATGGGGTGTAACTTTAATTACCTAATGTCACTTTAATTACTTCCAAATGTAGTCTAAATGAATTCAGGTCATAGCAATTCAGTCCATAGCTTGGCTTAACCTGGTCCGCAGTCACAGGTGAAGCTGAGCTATGGACTGAATTGCGGCTCGTCCGAATTCATAGGTTAAATCCCTAACCTACAATTTGACTGTATCTCCAATGTAGCCAAATTGGCAGCTAGGGATTTAACCTATGAATTGGGACGGGCTGCAATTCAGTCCATAGCTCGGCTTCACCTGTGACTGCAGGCCCGCTCTGACCCAGGTAAACAGATAGACTTCTCTGTAATTCAGTAGGATAAAACACCTTCTCCAATAAAGTCTTAACTACAGCTTTGGGGAAGGGCTTCTCTTTCCAAGTTCGTTCTTCCTTGAGTATCTTCCCTCAGCTCTAGATTAACTTATAGAGTTCACTTATATCCTATAGTTAATCTTTTATCATGGTATAATTCTTTATATTAAATTTCTGTTGAAATCACTCTATGGTTTTTATCTTCTGATTTGACCTACACTGCTACAAGAACAGACAAGCTGAGAAGCATGAGCTTGAAATATAACTGCCCCTGGTGTTAATCATTACATTTTTGTGGAATGTATCTGTTATAGGACTAGGTATTCACTTTAATTATACTTGTACTTTAGTTTTATTTAATTATACTTTATTATGATTCTGCCATGTAAAATGTATGCCTGTGAAGAAAATCAAAACATTTCACCCCCAAATATCCTTCTTTGACATCTTTTGAGATGGCTGTTCAGAGGGTCTGCAAATAGAAGTAGCCCTGAAAAGCTGTCTTTCCTCAGGAGGGAGGTTTGCATCCATAGAGAATCTGCCTTGATACAGCCAGGTTTCTCTGGGGCCCTTCCTCATCTGAGTCTAGTCTGACACCTTTAAACTTCTCAAAGAAACATTTACCATCTATTTTCTGTGATGGCTGCTACCTGTGAGGTTTCAGCTACATAACAAGACCAGCTTTGCTGCTAGGCCTCCTCTTCTCTCCCTCCCATAACATGTCCCACCACCATAACTTGATTCACCACCATAACCTGGTTTTGGCCATGCTCTGAGCTGCCATTCTTTCTGTAGCCTCGAGATGGCATACAAACTTCAACCATCTGACCCTCGCTCTGAGTTTATTAATACTTTGTATGTGATACCCAAGCCCATATGCATGTTAATAAATTTGTATGCCTTTTCTTCTGTTAATCTGCCTATTTTCAGTTTGTTTCATAGGCTTACATTATCAAAACTTCAGTGGGAAAATGTAAACTTCCCTGCAATGCCAGTGCAGCACAAAGCTTAGAGCATATGGTAACCCTGAGAGGAGGGCCGCTGCATCGGGGGGACCTCACAAGACAAGTCTGGAAGGTAGGGACAAGCAGGCAGAGGGAATCAGGGTGGCAGTGTGGGCAAGAGACCTGGACCACATAGCGTCTCTCTCAAGAGGGCTGCATGAAAGTGGTCACTAGGACAGGCTAGGACTGAGGGGTGGTGTATTTTGAACATGTCACTGGGGCAGAATGACACCAGATGTTCTCATACCCACACTGCTGGCACACCATGCAGCAGCTGGAAAGAGCAGAACAGCCTTCTTTCTGCTTACTGGTATCCTTACTGGTAAGCAGAAATGCTTAAAGATGTCCATTAGTACAGAACATGTATTGAAGACTGCATTTGGAGATCAGAGGCAATAAATTGAAAACTAGCATGATTCTCTTAGTCACTTTTTACATAATAGATTCTAATAATTTAAGACTTTTTTTTGTATGTGATTTATTGTAGCCCATGTGTTACAAAGGATCTGAGAATTAGACACTTTAATTGTAATATATTACTAACTTTAATATGGACTGTTGTTACCCCATTTATGGGAGTGAAATATGCTTAAAGAAACATTACAATGTGTCTAAAGTAACTTCTTAAACTTGCAAAAATCAGAGTGGATATGCCACATCATTGCACTCTAGTGTGAAAATCCAGACATACAAGAGCAGGTCAGACACCACCTGGGATAAGCTTTCACCTATCCTCCTTTTATGATCAGAAATTATTTTGCAAATTTTGCATTTCTACAAAATTATCTTAGGTTATTATCTAAATTCACCATTTAAGATTCACCATTAAAAAAAATTTCTGGGCTGGGCGCAATGGCTCACAGCTGTAATCCCAGCACTTTGGGAGGCTGAGACGGGCAGATCACGAGGTCAAGAGATCGAGACCATCCTGGCTAACACGGTGAAACCCCGTCTCTACTAAAAATACAAAAAAATTTAGCCGGGCGTGGTGGCGGGCGCCTGTAGTCCCAGCTACATGGGAGGCTGAGGCAGGAGAATGGCGTGAACCTGGGAGGCGGAGCTTGCAGTGAGCCCAGATGGCGCCACTGCACTCCAGCCTGGGTGACAGAACTAGAGTCCGTCTTAAAATATAATATAATATAATATAATATAATATAATATAATATAATAATATAATACAATATAATAATATAATATAATATAATATAATACAATATAATAATAATATAATATAATATAATACAATATAATATAAAAATTAAAAATTCTGATACCTTCTAAGGGAGGAGGATGTACTATTTGTTCTTTAAATTCTCACGGTATTTCCACATTAGAGTCCCCAAATACAAGAGCTCTAATGAGAAAGTGACTGCTCAGAAATTTGAGCAGACGTTTTATCCTTATGCCTTCATTTCTTTCATTGCTTAATAAACTCTAATGGATAATAGTGAACACATTTCTATATAGTTTCCGATCAAACGATTCTGTGAAAATTTAGTCAAGGAATCAAGAGAAAGTACAGTCATTTCTCCAAAGGAGCATTTCAACAGACATTTCATCAAAAACAAAATTTAAAATGGCAACCTGTGTGAAACACTTTGGCAGAATAATAATAATAAATAATTTGGATGCAAGCTGAATACATGAATTATTTTACTGGGGTGGAGGATATGGGCATTGCATGCTTATTACATTTTTGGTTTGTATTGCCCTACATGTTATTTAATGTCCTAGTGTTTTGACAAAGACAGGCATAAAATGAGCACTAATATTTTAGTTTCTGTCTTCTTTTTTTTTTTTTTTTTTTTTGAGACGGAGTTTCGTTGTCTCACCCAGGCTGGAGTGCAGTGGCGCAATCTTGGCTCACTGCAAACTCTGCCTCCCGGGTTCATGCCATTCTCCTGCCTCAGCCTCCCGAGTAGCTGGGACTACAGGCGCCTGCCACGACACCCAGCTAATTTTTTGTATTTTTAGTAGAGACAGGGTTTCACCGTGTTAGCCAGGATGGTCTCGATCTCCTGACCTCGTGATCCGCCCGCCTCGGCCTCCCAAAGTGCTGGGATTACAGGCGTGAGCCACCGCGCCCGGCCTAGTTTCTGTTTTCTTAAGGAAATAGACCAGTCCTTTGCAAACACATGTTTTATTTCCTAGTAAACTCATCTATTGCTACAACTGTGCAATTTAAGGGACAAATCATTCCTCCTTAATCTCCGTTGATGGCAATTCCATCTGGTGCCCAAGCTAATGACTTTGGGATCACCACTCTTCTCTCACACTCTACATCCAGTCTAGAAAGAAATCTTATTGGTTCTATCACACTTACAAAACCTATCAAAAACCCTACCACTGATTAAGAACTCCATTGTCACCACCCTGATCAAAGCCATATTTTTCTCTTTCCTGGACCAATTTAACGGCCTCTGGAGGAGGACTGGCCCCTAGATGGCCTCAGCGGACCCAGCTTTCTTCTCCCCTTCCCCATTTCCTGGCTTACAGTTTTAGAATAACTGTAGAATGTGCTAAGAATGCAGTATCTTGATATATAGAGGAACTTTCTAGAAAAGCCTGGGCTTTGTCCTCATTCTTTGTAGAACGGGATGTCCTATAATGCTTTTGCTCAGTGACCCACCCACGGGATGCCCTGGAGCTAAAACCCAGAGCGGTGTGCTTTCAGAGTCCTTCAGCTGTAGTGCAAAGTGGAGCATGTGTAGATGAGAGTATATATTCTCTTTATACCAGAAGTAAGTATAGTTTCATTCAGTGAAAGTCACTGTCCCTAATCTATACAATACTCAAAGTTTAAAAAAAATACTCTATGTTAAAAACTGTGAGCATTGAAAGCTGACTTATCTATTCAGAGATCACATATAGTAAAGGGTATTACAGTATAAAATACCAAGAAAGCAGATCAGCTGATGAAAATTACTGATTTTGAACGTCTTTTTAATCATTATATGACATCCTGATAAGTTTTCCTGAGGAATTAAATGCTTCTGGGATCTTAAAGTACATTTTCTACAAAGAAGTCATAGTGTTTTCTTAAAATAAGCTACCAATTAAAGCAAGAATGTGGAGTAGATGGCATTGGTAGATACAATCAACTAAAAGATTGTTTTTATTTTCACTCCAGAGTACGGTGAGCTTATATTCACAATTAGTAAAAGGAAGCAGAGTTGATTTTCTACAACTTCTTCTGTTTCTTCTCTCAAAACCTTCAGAGAGAGGAAAAGGCAAAGGAATGCAGTATTCTCCCATTTAAGTCAACATTACAAATGCAGTTAAAGGGAATATAATATTGCTAAATAAGACCTCATCATGATGTGTATTCTATGACAGTTTATTTTGACTCCTTTAACTGAGCGTTGTGTGAGTTTCTTTAGTTTATTTGTTAGCCACTCGGTTACGAAGATCAGGATGTTTTTAGCTTTTTAGACACAATATTTGTCGAAGCTCTTCTTCTCATACTATACTTTTCTAAAATGAATTTGAAAGTAGTGAGATGTCTTATCAACTTTCCATAAAATTCTCATTTCCTTCAGCCTGTGTAAACAGCTGACTAAACACATGGCTATTCACTGTCAGGACTTGCTCCTCAGCATCTGCCACGGAAAAGATTCGATTGCACACATACGAACCCAATGCCAGCACCCCAAGGGACAGGGCAATAGAAATGGGAGGGAAATGATCAAGTCAATGAATGATACACTCCATTAATCTTAATGTTAGGACATTAATATTGCTTGGCAACTGCCTAAAATCAACAATAAGCGATCAACCAATTTGTTGCCTAAAAGTTATTGATTTAACCATCAATAACTTAACAGCATAACCATAACAATAACTTTAATTTACTAACTTTAAATAACTAAAGTTCTTTAACAATAACGATAACAGCATATATGTACATCAGTTACGCATTAAAAGATGGATATTTTTTGTGTACATCTGAATGGAGAATATTAGATAATGTAGAAAGACATGAGATGAAGTTGATAATACAACCCCTTAGAGCTTTAATAAATGAGCTCTCTCAGTCAAGCCACAGTAACGACCTTTTCTCTGTGATATGAGCCAGGACTCTGCAGGTGTACAGAGGAGATAAACTGCAATTATAAAGTACAATTAACAGGTAGTAGCGGTCTCATTTATTATACACACCTACGCATGTTTCCAAACCAGATGATCACTAAGTATTCACAGCAAGTAATCACCCACTGGACAAAACAGCATTACTTCACCTTCTGAAAAAGTAGTTTCTACTACTTTGAAAAGCTTGTTGGTGATGAGACGAAAACTGAAATAGGTTACAATTCTAATACACACACAGTACAGGTAACACAAAGAGTCTTTCATTATTTAACATTCTTAAGCATCACCCAAAATGCCAAAAAGAAATACGGTAAGTTTCAAGGTTTTGCATAAAGTACTACACTGAGCTTTTAAAGTGAAGGGCTTAGTCACCCAAATACCGTCTTAGGCCTTATAGTATCTCTCCTGAGTTCCCAGTATATAATTTATTATACCAAACAGATCATTCTCCAGAGTTCTTTTGATATTTCTAGATCTCTCTCAACTTATAACCTAATCAGCTCCCTCAATCCCACATAGGCCTCAAGCTAATCTCAATCACTTTTCTTCCATTCATTTTTCATTCACTTATTTACAAATATGTATTTTGCATGAATTGTCTGCCAGCACTGTTTTAGGGGCAGAAAGAATATGATAGTACCTAAGAAAGGCCCTCATTCTTATATCTCTTTAAAGGAAGATAAAAACTTTTAACAAGGTAAATATTTAAAAATACTTTAAAGGAGACCAGGCGTGGTGACTCATGCCTGTAATCCTAACACTTTGGGAGGGAGAAGTGGGTGGATTGCTTGAGGTCAGGAGTTTGAGACCAGCCTGGGCAAAATGGTGAAACCCTGTCTGGACTAGACATACCCGCCCCTAAAAAAATTAGCCGGGTGTGGTGGCACGTGCCTGTAATCCCAGCTACTTGGGAGGCTGAGGCAGGAGACTCACTTGAACCTGGGAGGCAGAGGTTGCAGTGAGTGGAGATCATGCCACTGCACTCCAGCCTAGTCAACACAGCAAGACTCCATCTCAAAAACAAAAAACAAAGAAACTTTAAAAGACACAAAATGCTATAATAGCAGAGAGTGATAATTGCTACAAGGAAAATAAAATATGATTATGGAAAACAAATGAACTGGTTGATCCAACTCCTGTCTGTGTCCACTGCTACCATTTTGGAGTGAGCTCTTGTTAGGTCGCCACTCAACCAGGCTCCAGTGATACCCTAATTGGTTTCCTTCTGTTAATGGCCTTCATTGCTTTTTCTGCAGCACAGTCAATCTGTCAGGTAGGGCTCTCTAGAAGCAGAGCCTGCAATAGCAATTATTGAGCAACTTTTCTTGAGAGAATAACCTTATGAGAGGGGAATAGTAAGTAGGGTGAGACAAAGATGAGATCTACCTAAGCCAGGATGATCTCAGCACAAGACTGGCTCAGCCTGACACCCAGAGTTTTGGAGCATGGATTGCATTACAGAGTTGGCCTGACGTTGAGGCTAGAGGAATAGCCCTTTATACCATGTGTCAGTCAGTCACTGGCTACAGGTTGTCCAGGCGAGGCAGCTCCCTTAAGTCTGAAGAAGTGCTCAGGAGAGAACAGGGCACTTGTGAGCCCTTAGCTACCAACAATAGTATGCGGGGGTGCAATGCAGAGGCCTAGTAAAGTGGGACTGAATGGAGCAGCACCCTTTAATTTAAAAGAAGAAGAAAATGGATATTGATTAGAAACACAGCAGCATCTGCCACAGTTAGAAAAAGCATGACTATGTGGTGTTTCTGTAAGAACATGAGAGAATGTCAGTGAAGCACATCATAACAGTGATTGGAGCATGAGTTCTCAGTCAATGGCAGTTATTTTGATTGTGACAGATTGAGATGTTTATAACTTGAATAGCTGGCACTAGAATTCCTATTACAGAAGAATTCCTAATGTTGAAGTACTAGTTTGATGAGCTGCTTGGGATAAAATTGAAACTTCAAAGTTATGCCCATTGGCAGGAGTTAAAGCAGCAAAGGGGGCACCAAAACTATCTTGTGTGAGAAAAGGAGACCAATTTAGTTTTTGCTCCTGAGAAGAGAAAAGACAGAAGAGAAGGGAGGGGAAGGAGGGAGATGCGGGAAGGAGGGAGATGCAGGAAGGAGAGCCAGGATCATGCTAGAGAAGCTCAGAGGGAATTAGCTGGCCAAGCAGTGGGGAATTAACTTTTAAAGAATATAAGGCTTGGCCTGGGTGCAGTGGCTCACACCTGTAATCCCGGCACTTTGGGAGGCCAAGGCGGGTGGATCACCTGAGGTCGGGAGTTCGAGACCAGCCTGACCAACGTGGAGAAACCCATCTCTACTAAAAATACAAAATTAGCCAGATGTAATGGCACATGCTTGTAATCCCGGCTACTCAGGAGGCTGAGGCAGGAGAATAGCTTCAACCCGGGAGGTGGAGGTTGTGGTGAGCCAAGATTGCGCCACTGCACTCCAGCCTGGGCAACAAGAGTGAAACTCCATCTCAAACAAAACAAAACAAAACAAAACAAAAAGAAAGAATATAAGGCTTATGTTTACAGTAATTTTTGTTACACCTCCATATCTTCTGTAAGGTTATTGAAAATAAACTAATGGGTTACATGTATATGTGTCTTTTTTTGGTGAAAATTGAGGGAGAAAATAAATCTTATTTATGAGATAGGATGTTTGAATCATAGAGAAAGAATAATCTATAAAGTGAAGAAGTTGGAATTCTCAGCCAGAGGTGACTGTACTATCTGGAATATCCTGAGAAACAGAACCAATAGCAGAGACAGAGGGAGAGTGAGAAAGACTTACTATAGGTAATTAGCTTATGTAATTCTGGAGGCTGAGAAGTCAAGTTCGCAGTTGGCAAGCTGGAGACCCAGGAGAGCCAATGGGAGAGTTCCAGTCTGAGTCTGAAGGCCTGAGCACCACGAGAGTCAATGGTGGAAGTTCCAGTCTGAAAACTGGCAGGCTCAAAATCCAAGAAGAGCCAATATTTCAGTTTAGTCTGAAGACAAGAAAAAAGTCATGACCCAGTTCAAACAGTCAGGCAGGAGTTTTCTCTTTCTTACTGGAAGGTCAGAGTAATTTTAGTTCTATTCAGGCCTTCAACTGATGGAGTAAGGACTACTCACATTAGGGAGAGAAGCTCGCTTTACTCAGTCTACTGATTCAAATGTTAATTTCATCCAAAAGCACCATCACAGACATAGCTGGGATAATGTTTCATCAAACATCTGGGCACCTCATGACATAGTCAAATTTCCACATGAAATTATTCATCGCAAGTCCACCTCTTGTCAACTTGGCATCCATACACATCTCCTTAAACTATACTTAATCTCCAAATAAAGAAAATAGCAAGGCCATGCTTCTGTCTAATATATCATCATCCCATGTACCACTGAAGACACACCTACCCCTTCCCCAGAAAAGGAGGTATAATCCTCGAATGGTGTTTATTTTTCTCCTTGATATCCTGCAACTTAAATGTTATAATATAAAATCAACAACACTTAAATGCAATGATATAGTCAATACATCCCTTATAAGGGAATAAGACAGCAGAAAAACAATAATATTTGCTTAATGCACCCACACACATTTGTATGTATTCATAACAAAAAAGGAGGAAATGCTGATAACAATTTCAATCTTGATTTCTGTAACTGGTCATGTGGTCATAGCTGGTATTTATAGCTACCTTCTTCCACTAAGCACCTCACTTCTTCCACTAAGCACCTCAGCTGGTCGTGATTATTTCCTTGTTGGGATGACCCAAGGCTTCATTCCTGAAGGGTCTGGGCCATTAGTTGTCCTGCCTGGATTAGGTGGTTGTCATTTTCCATTGACCATAATTACAGAATATTATAATCCCAAGGACACCCTAAGGGTATATATATTGCAGACACACCCTTCCTTATCTCCATTTGGAAGTACGAGTCCAAGTTCCCCTTGCCAGTTAAGATCAATAACCAGAACTAGCCCAGTAACTCTCTTCCTTGCCTGTTGATTTACAGGCATGAGGAATCCAAAGCCACTGGGTAACAGTTTTAATTTCCAGTTCTATAAAGGCATTGTTGTGTCTCTTGGTGGAAGCAATCCTTCATTTGAAACAGACTTCTAGGCCAGCAGATCATAAAGTTGTAGGATCAAGAGGCAAACATTTTGCTAGTAGGTCACTAGGAATAACGGTGAGTGAGACCACTCCCACTTTCTTCCCTTGATTCCTGGACCTGTGAATTCTGCCTTTTGGAGAAACAGCATCATATTTTCGATGCTGATTTAAAGCATGCAGACTCCTGAGGAATCTTTCCCCAGCTCAGTACTGCCACCTGGCTGACACTGTAACTGAGTCTGCAAAAGGCCATTCCATCATTCTACCAAACCAGCTACTTCAGGATGGTAGGAAACATAGTAAAGTCGATGAATTCCATGAACATGGACCCATTGCTGCACTTCTTTTCCTGTTAACTGAATTCCCTGATCAGAAGCACTGCTGTATGGAAAACAATGACTGTGGTTAAAGCATTCTGTAAGCCCATGGATGGTAGCTTGGGTAGAAACATTGCATGTAGGGAAGGCAATTCTATATCCAGAGTGTCTGTTCCAGTAAGAATAAAACACTGCCCTTTCCATGATGAAAGTGGCCCAATGTAATCAATCTGTCACCAGGTAGCTGGCTTATTACCCCAGGTGCATATCAAGGATTCAGAGTTGGTCTGCGTTGCAAGCATACTGGACCGTCACAGTGGCCATGGCCAGGTTGACCTTGGTGAGTGGGAGTCCATGTAGGCTAAGTCTCCATCCTGCCACTATGGATACTTTGTTCCTAAGTCTACTGGGAGATGACAGAAGTGGCTGGCAAAAGAGGCTGATAGGTATCCACAGAATGGGTCATCCTATCCACTTGATTTTTAAAATTCTTCTCTGCTGAGGTCATCCTTTGGTGAGCATCCACATGGGACACAAATATCACCATGGTTTTGTCACTCATTCAGAGAGGTCCACCCACACATACCTCTTTCCCAGGTTTCCTTGTCACCAATCTTCTAATTATGTTTACACATTATGCCATTTGTTCTTTCCAAGCAAAGTGAACAACCTGGTGCACTATTTGAAGTTGAGTCCACTGGGACAACTTCTCTTCACCACTGTCCAGGGATGTCCCAGAGAGGGGCTACAGTGCTGTAGCTATCCACTTTCAGATGATTCCTGAATATTATGCAAAACCCTCTGTAATCCAGGCCCAAGTCTTCTCTTCTTTAGTCAACTGATAATGGGGAGCTCCCCATGGGACCATAAGTGCAGGCTGCGAGAGAAAGGTCAGTGTAGCAGATGTGGGGACCATGGGCTTTTGGGTCACTTTTTCATGTAACTTACTTGTGCCTCAGAGCCTGCTCAGACCTAATCATGTGTATACCACTTCCATTAAATGCTGGAGTGCTCCTCTGCATGCCTAGCTTCATAGCTTGGTGAATCAGATAACACCCAGCTCATCACATGCAGCTCAGATCACATGGCAACTTGGTGGCCCAGGGTTACGAGTTCTGTATCTACTAAGGTCTAGTAGCAGGCCAAGAGTTGTTTCTCAAAAGGAGAGGAGTTATTCACAGAAGATGGCAGGACTTTGCTCCAATATTCTAAGGCCCTGTGCTGTTACTCACTTATAGGGCTTGTCAAAGTCTCCAAACACCATCCTATCTGCCACTGGCACTTCAAGCACCATTGGATCTGCTAGATCATACGGCCCAAGCAGCAGAGAAGCTTGCACAGCAGCCTGGACTGCTACAGAGCCTTCTCTTATTCTGGGTCCCACTCAAAAGCAGCAGTTTTCTAGGTCACTCAGTAGATGGGTCAGAGTAACACACGCAAATGAGGAGTATGATGCCTCCAAAATCCAAAGAGGTCCACAGAGTGTTGAGTCTCTTTTTTTCGTTGTAGGAGAGACCAGAAGCAACATCACCTTAAAAGGAATATCTTGATGTGCCCAACATCACTAGACCTCTCGAAATTGTACTGAGGTAGAAGGCCCCAGCATTTTAGTTGGATTTATTAACCACTCCCTGACATGTATGTCTTACCAGTAATGCCATCAGTGTAACGGACCAGTAATATCTTGTGGAAGTAAAAGGTAATCAAGATCCCTGCCAACTAAATTTTAACATCGGCCTAGAAAGTTGACATATCTGTGAGGCAGGATAGCGAAGATGGATTGCTGGCCTTGTCTGCTGAAAGAAAATTGCTTGTAATGAGACTTATGAACAGATACAGAGGAAAAAAAGCATTTGTCATGTCAATGGCTGCATATCAGAGGATGTGTTAATTTATTCAATGAAACCACATCTGATACAGCAGCTGCAATTGGAGTTACTATCTAGTTAAGCTTACTGTAATCTGTCATTCTCCAAAATTCATTTGTTTTCTGCACAGTTCAAATAGGTGAATTGAATGGGGGATGTGGTGGGAATCACCACCCTTGCATATTTCAAAACCTTAATGGTAGCATTAATGTTTGCAACCTCTCCAGGAATGCAGTACTAACTTTGATTTACTACTTTCCAAGGCAGAGACAGTTCTAGCGGCTTCCATTTAGCCTATCTCACCATAATAACCCTTGTCCCTTACACAAGTTAAGGAACCAATGTAGGGTTCTTCCAGCTTCTGAGTATATCTATTCTAATCATGCATTCTGGAAACAAGAAATAACCACAGGATGGATTTCGGGACTCACTGGGACCACTGTGAGACAGACATGGGATAAAACTCCCTGAATCACCTGATCTCCATAAGTCCTTACTTTGACTGGTGACCCACAGAGGGGGTTTAGGTCTCCTGGAATTAGTGTCAGTTCAGGGCCAGTGTCCAGTAGTTTCTAATAGGTCTGATTATTTCCTTTTCCCCGTTGCATAGTTACCCTGCTAAATGGTACCTTACTTTTGGGGAAGTTGTGAGGAAGTTTAACAGTGTAATTATTTTTGCAGTGTATGGTGCTCCTTCCTCAAGAGTACTTGGCCTCCCCTCCAGGGGGTTCTGGGGCTATAAACTGGCTCTAATATGGGAATTGATTGAGGAGTTGTGACTCTGGCCTAGGTTAAACTTATATTCACTTGACCTAGGAATTTTCTGCTTACCCAGTGATACAGTTTGGATATATATCCCCAGCCAAATCTCAGGTTGAACTGTAATCCCCAGTATTGGAGGTGGGGCCTGGTGGAAGATGACTGGATCATGGGGGTGGAGTTCTCATGAATGGTTTGGCACCATTCCCTTGGTGCTGTTCTCATGACAGTGGGTGCCTTCTCATGAGATCTGGCTGTTTAAAAGTGTGGCACCTAACTCTCTCTCTTTTGCTCCAGCTTTCACCATGTGACATGGAAGCTCCTGCTTTGCCTTCCACCATGATCCTGAGGCCTCCCCAGAAACAGATGTCAGTGCTAATGCTTCCTTGTAGAACCATGAGCTAATTAAACTTCTTTCCTTATAAATTACCCAGTCTCAACTATTTCTTTATAGCAATGCAAGAACAGCCTTATGTATACAGAGAAAGTAAGAATTTAGTAGTCTTCCAGAGTATTTCACCTCTAGAACCATCATGCTCAACTAACCAACACCATAAATATGCACAAGTGAGATGATTCTGATTGCTGTCTTGAGTCTGCCTCCCTTACAGGAACCACACCCACTCTCACTTTGGTACCACCCCTTGGCTCCTGCCATCCTGGGATCCAATTACTCCCATTGTCTAGATTTTCCAAACAGTGACTGCATTCTCCACTGTAAGGTCTGGCAATCACAAAGCTCTTCAGAGACACTTAGGCTCTCCTTACAAATTGATTTCTCACAATAGCAGTGAAAAGAAGTACATCTTCTGTTTTCTCCCAATGAGGGTGGTTAGATCTGAAATGGCAAATCTATTCTAACATTCCGATCTCCCTAAGCCTTTGAATGCTTTCCTCTACAGATGGTCCCCTTTAAGATGGTTCCTGTTGCAATGGTGTGAAAGTGATGCACATTTAGTAGAAACCACACTTTGAATTTTGAATCTTGATCTTTTCCCAGGTTAGATCTGCTGTATGACACTCTGTTGCAATGCTGGGCAGCTGCAGGGAGCCACAGATCCCAGCCACCCACACCATCACAAGGGTAAATGACCAATACTCAGCTGCGTACTGTGAGTGTGCTGTGTTGCCAGTGGTTTTTATTTTTTATACTTTTAATGTTTTAATTTTTTCTTATTTTTCATAAGTTATTGGGGGTACAGGTGGTATTTGGTTACATGAGTAAGTTCCTTAGTGGTGATTCGTGAGATGTTGGTGCACACATCACCCAAGCAGTGTACACTGTACCATATTTGTAGTCTTTCATCCCTTGCCCCCCTCCCACTTTTCCCCCCAAGTCCCCAAAGTCCATTGTATCATTTTGCATTCTCAAGCTTCATCAGAAGAGAGAGAAACCAATGACCCTGTCACTATAACCTCTCCATCAGCCAGCAATTAATTTTAGTTCAATGTTTCAAATTTTCTTCAGGCTCCGCGCACTTTCAGCTGTGTACATTAATGGTTAGTACCCATACAAGTATTCTGTTTTTCACTTTCAGTATGGTATTCAATAAATTAGGTCAGCTATTCATTACTTTATTATAAAATAGGCTTTGTGTTAGGTGATTTTGCTCAACTATAGAATAAAGTAAGTGTTCTGAGCATGTTTAAAGTAGGATAGGCTAAGCTATGATGTTTGGTAGGTTAAGTGTATTAAATGCAGTTTGACTTGCAATATTTTCAAGTTATGGTAGCTTTATTGGGATGTAACCTTATAGTAACTAGAGGGGTATCTATACATTCAACCAAGGCAGGTCTGGCATTTCCAACTTACTCACTGTAGGCCACCTTTTGGTCTAGGCTTTAGTCAACCACAGAAAGTGTTAGAGCCCTTTCTGACTCCTGAGACGCACATTAACTGTATAATCTATGCTTAGTAAAAGTAATTTCAGCCTGAGGTAAGTTGGTGTTCCTCCACCAATATCTCTCACACTTAATATCCATTCTCACATGTTTCCTAGGTTTCTGTCTGTATAATTTTAAAAACTCAAACAATTATTGTAGAGTGTAGCACACCTCCTCATGGGCCACACTTTATACCTCACCTTTAGGGGCCCGCTGAGATGAGTCTAGTTCTAGATCCAGAAGCAAAGAAAGATGGTAGACATGGTTCCTGAGAATATTCAGCATTTTCTTGATGGCAGCTTCCTCAGGGGAGGCCACTAAAATTTCATCAGTCACTAAGAGGTTACTCTCTTCAAATGGGGGTAGAGAGGCTGCTCCCCCTGGGGCTGGGGAGACATCTTCCAGCAGAAAAGAACTTAGTGGTTCAGTGTTTCCAGCTTCATCCAGGTCTTCCCTCACATCACATCCCCACTCCAATATTCAGATTCCATTCCTTCCCAATCAATGCCCTCACTTTCCCCATAAATACTCTACAAGGCTGGGAGTTCAAACTTACATTGTAATTCAGCCAGTCACAGGATGAGTTTCTGGGCTTCATTTTCAGCAATCTTAGACCTGAAATTACAGGAGATAAATGTCTCCTTCAGGGCACACATAGAAGCTTTCAGATCATTTAGGTAGCATTTGAGCTGGGAATTTTAATCGTTAAGCTCATCTTTCTCTTTCTATACTTTGTCCAGCACCATTAGGAACAATCAGTCCTGAACTGTTATATTCAATAGCTTGTCGGAAATGTTTGAAAGTACCATATACACAGTCATCCATATCCATGCTTTTTGTAAGTAGTTGATTAGGACTATCCAAGGGTGATATTTTGCATATTTCTATTGCCAAATCACGCCAGGTACTGTGAGTGCTTTCTTTACCACTGGAAACAGAACCACTAGCATCTTTAATTCTAATCAGATTAGAAAGCCAATTCTGGAAACTTCAGAACAAATTCAAGAAATTTATTCTTAAAATTTTGTTTCTCTAGAACCACTGTTAGTACTAAATCACGCTAATCTCAGTACTAATCTGTATTAGTCACGTACCTTCCAAAAGAAAAAAACCCAGAACCCACTAGATGCTTAGATGGATATGTGGACACATAGGTACATTTATTGTAAGAAATTGGTTTATGTGATTACAGAGACTGAGGAGTCCAAAATTTGCAGTTGGCAAGCTAGAGACCCAGGGAAGTTGGTAATGTAGGTCCACCCCAATTCCAAAGGCCTGAATACCAGGAAAGCTGATGGTGTAAGTTCCAGTCCCAGTCTGAGTCCAAAGGCAGAAGGACACTGATATCCTGTTCAAAGACTATCATAGAGAAACAATTATTTATTACTCAAACTTTCATTCCATTCAGGCCTTCAAGGAACGATATGAGGTCCACCTACAATGTGGAGAGCAATCTGCTTTACTCAGTCGTACCTGGGAGGCTTCAAGACTTCCGAGGAGGGTGTTAAACTTCCTTCAGACATGGAATTAAATTTTGATTCAATTTTATCCAACTGTCTTGGGAAAAGGGGAATGCTTCACCTACTGGATGGTTTAAATTATTTTGTTGTAATCATTATAAAAATGTGTACATCTGTGGACAAAAAGAAACAATGAATGAGCCAAATACATACTTGGAAATTCACAAAAATGTTAGTTTTATATAGACATAATCTGATAAGCTTGGAAATTTTAAAAAAATGCTTTTCGAATAAGCTCAGTGTTTACAATAGTCTTGTTTCTTTTACTTGTCAAAGGCTCTGCTATCTGAAAATATTCAAACCATGAGTTTCATGGGCCCTGCCTGTGAGAAAATGTGCATTTTCCACATAAAATCCATTTCCTTGTCAGATAATTTACAACTCACCCTGTTTAAACAGACTCTGTATTTAAAGCTAGAAGATTTATCACACAGCAAGTTCAACCTCAGGAATTCCATATAAGTCCACAAGCACATGTGTCTAAAAACTGTTGAGTAAGTAAATTCAATGATGAAAACTGTAATTTATATCAAGGATGAGAAATACTCTCTTTGTAGGTCTATTGTCAATGACTAATATATGAAGAATTAATGCAGTTGATCATCTAAATAATGCTACACATGTCTGTTTCCATTGGCCTGTGGACAAGAACATGTGTCAGTAAAAAAAAGAGTTTTGAAATAAATCTCAGATATTATGATTGTTTCATTTTCTCTAATAAAATGTGAACATTTATTCATTCTTGGAAAATAATTTTGAATAGAGGTATATTCAGGTATATGTGTTATATTCCTTTATTGTTAACTTTATAGGCATTAGTTTCGTTAATTAAATATAATGTGGCTTTGGTGGAATGAAAAAACACTAGCCTGAAGCTGAACTGGTCACTTTTCAGTTTTCTGTTTGGTGGGTGTGGACAGACATGATGTAATTCTTTGGAGAATTGAGACAACTTGGGAGATTTACAGGGCACATATGATTGTATTTCCATTAGTGAAATTGTCACACATTAAAGACAGAGTAGGCATATTAGAGCTAAAATGTATTCAAAGGACCTTTATCAAATAAATGTCAGTTGTGGAAATAAATGTTAAGTTGGAATATGTGAAAGACAAATGGAAAATAAAGGGAGACCATTCATTCACGGACAGGTAGAGAAACATTCAGTGAAAGCTAAAAAGATTGAAATAGGGTCGGCTGGGTGCAGTGGTTCACGCCTGTAATCCCAGCACTTTGGGAGGCCGAGGTGGGTGGATCACGAGGTCAGGAGATTGAGACCATCCTGACTAACATGGTGAAACCCCGTCTCTACTAAAAATACAAAAAAAAAAAAAAAAAAAAAAATTAGCCGGGCGTGGTGGCAGGTGCCTGTAGTCCCAGCTACTCCGGAGGCTGAGGCAGGAGAATGGCGTGAACCCAGGAGGCGGAGCTTGCAGTGAGCCACGATCACACCACTGCACTCCAGCCTGGGTGACTGAGCAAGACTCCGACCGTCTCAAAAAAAAAAAAAAAAAGTTTGAAATAGAGTCATGAAAGGCGTTAGCCGGGCGCGGTGGCGGGCGCCTGTAGTCCCAGCTACTCGGGAGGCTGAGGCAGGAGAATGGCGTGAACCCGGGAAGCGGAGCTTGCAGTGAGCCGAGATTGCGCCACTGCAGTCCGCAGTCCGGCCTGGGCGACAGAGCGAGACTCCGTCTCAAAAAAAAAAAAAAAAAAGAAAGAAAAAGAAAGGCGATTTATTTGTTTTCAGATAAGTGACATTTAGATAACAATTTGAAACGTTGATAGAAAGTTCCAGTAGGATGGGAATTATTGAAAGAACAAGAGAGTAGGGAAATAGTTGACAGGAGATGCCAGGAGGTGGACGGAGAGCACAAGTAGACAGATTTTACTTTCCCGGAGGGATTCCTCAACTGGATTGGAAGGGAAGGCAACAAAAAGTGACTGGGACATAGCGTGATTTTAAAGGCAGAATACATCAAAGTCTGGGGGTAGTTGATGCAGAAGACTTTGAACAAATGTGAATATGTCTTTATGGAATGTTCCCATCCTGCACCAATATAAGTGTGCTGCTAAACCAGAGAGAGCTCTCTGGAAGGGACTTCCTTGCTAGTGTTACAAGAAAGGGGTCCCTATACAGACCCCAAGAGAGGGTTCTTGGATCTCGTGAAAGAAAGAATTCAGGGCCAGTCCACGGTGCAAAGCAAAAGCAAATTTATTAAGAAAGTAAAGTGGCGAAAGAACAGCTACTCCATAGACAGAGCCAGGAGTTCCCAAAAGGAAGAAGAGGAACGCGTCCACCCTAGGTACAACGCTTGTTTATATATAGGATAAATAAAGATCATGGGAAGATGTGCTATGCTACAAGGGTTTGTGATAAAGGATTAATTTTCTTATGTTTTGCAAGGATCGATATTATTATCTTTAAAGCAAAATTAGGAATGCTTCTGTTCTCAAGATATCAGGATATCAAGACAATCCCAAGTCTGGGCCTGTTTAGTAAACATTATCAATCTGTTCTCTTAGCAGTAAACATCTAGAGGCTAGGAATGCCTAACTTTCTATGAATGCAGCCCAGCAAGTCCCAGCCTTATTTTCTTAGCCTTCACTCAAGATGGAATCATTCTGGCTGGAAAGCCTTTGACACTAGGAAAAGCACAAATTGTATAAGTGGAACAATTTGGAAACAAGAGTCAGGTAGTCTTTCTTTAGACACAACACGACTTTGACATAACAATTGCAAATAATGCTTTGCAACCACGTCAATAGTGGTATCTTGAGGGGAACTACAGAATTTGAAAATAAATGTACTCTTTACCTAATTACTAATTTTTTTCATTTATTCTTATGTCTTACAAATATGATTATATTTGTTTAGGAATAAAAATTTGTTTCTTAAGGAATTCATCTATTTTTGTTGTAGTTCCCATTGGAAAACACATTTTTTTTTTGTTAGAATAGTATAATCCCAATAAGTGACCTGTATTCATGAAGGCTAAGAATAGAAACAAGTAATGGTAGCTCAGAGGCTCAGGTTGGAACATAATGGCTCTGCCTCCTGAGAAGACGGAAGGTCTAATATTACATTAGACCACATGTGGCATCTTTATATTTGCTAAGGGATAGCTAGTGCTTGCATTTCTCAAAACAGTCTTACATTATCACAATCTGCTTTCAACTAGTTCAAAATTCAAGCTTAGTGGATTTTTTTCCACAGTAGTCATGCTAATGTAAATAGCACATTTGCAGTGAAAGTGTTCCGGTTTTATTCGTAAGATGTTTTAGGGCAGTGCTTCTCAAATTGTAATGTGCAAGATCCTTATGATCATGTTAAATGCAGATTCCAAGTCAACGTAGGTGTAAGTAGGGAAGTCTGCATTTCAAACAAGCTCCCAAGTGAGGTTGGTGCCTTGCATAGTAAAGTTGTCGTTTGCAGTTAGATACCCGCTTACCAACAGAAAGTGACCAGTTAAGAAGAAACACATGCTCACCAAATGCTTATCTCAATAAATTTCTTTACACAGACTTATTAAAATCAACTTAACATACGATACACATGACACATATAACATACCTGTCTTTAGAAAAATAAATTGATTGTTTTTTTGTCTGCCATATATGCCAAATAAATGGAAAACTGAAGATAATTTTTTTGGTTAAAATGTGGTGTTCGCATTAAAATTAGTTTGAAGGGTATTTTTCTGAAAAAAGAATCTCTCTTTCTCCATATATATAATATTTAACATTTAACTTTAATTTGAAGTAACATTTGCAAGAACCATGCTGTAAGGTAGTTTCCAGGGACCAAATTGTTAAAATAGATGTTTGTAATCAATACTTAACTGATGTGAACGTTTTGTATTATGACATTAAAGAGGGAATTCTTATTTGAACTCTGCATTAGCTGAAAGTTCAGTGCATTCTGTAGCTTTCATATGAATTTATTCCACTACATTAGGTTCTAGATTTTAATATTTGTAGAGTTGGCTGCATGCAGTAGGGAAAATGTCTTTTGCTCTTAGAAGTCATGAGAACTAAGGAGTCACAAGGTGATTTAGTGCATTTAAGCCAGATTTCATCCTGTGAAATCCAGGAGCAGATTTTTTTTTTTTTTTTTTTAGCCAAAATTAGTTACTTTAAGAAACAAAGAATAGAAATTCCTTTAACAAAGAAAATTCTGTCTGGTAATCTAGTTGACATAAAGATAATAAGATATTGAATTTTTTAATGATTTCTTTGAGTCTAGGATGTGCCCAAGGAAACCTGTCCCTTGGCAGGAAAATAGTAGACATTTTCTTGAAACTATCGACTCATGCAACAACTTGGATAAATCTCAGTGGCGTTATGGTGAGTGAACAAAGTCATTCAAAAAGTTCATACTGTATTGATTCCATTATATGACATTCTCAAAAGATAAAACTATAGGGATAGAAAATAGATCGGTGATTGCCAGTGCTTGGTGGCATAAGGGAGGCTTTGATAAAGAGGCAGCATGTGGGAATTTTTTTAGGGTGATAGAAATGTATCTTATTGTGGTGATCGTTATATATATGTCTTAGAATTTATAGAAATGTGCACCACAAAAAGGTCAATTTTACTGTATGATAATTATAAAAACAAAAGAAAATAGAAAAAAGTGTGAGACAAAAAATATTAATTTACCTCAGAAACTAAATGAGCTTTTCCCATTGTATGGAGCTGAGGATTTATGAAAATTGCTTTCTTCCATATGCAGCCAGGCATGAAGCTGACTTGTGCCTCCATTGCCTGGAAGAATCCATCGGGGAAATGGTGGTAATAGAAGATGCGACTCTGTTTGCTGGATTTAGTTGCCATTACTGCAAGGGCACAGAGGGCTTCATGTAGTTGCAGACAGAAACTATAATGGAAATATTACTTAACAAGGTATCACTTTATATTTCTTCTTTCTTTTTTTTTTCTTTTTTTGAGATGCAGTCTCGCTCTGTCGCCCAGGCTGGGGTGCAGTGGCACAGTCGAAGCTCACTGCAACCTCTGCCTCCCGGTTCAAGTGATTCTCCTGCCTCAGCCTCCTGAGTAGCTGGGATTACAGGCATGTGTCACCACGCCCGGATAATTTTTGTGTTTTTAGTAGAGATGGAGTTTCACCATGTTGGTCAGGATGGTCTCGAACTCCTGACCTCATGATTGGCCCACCTCAGCCTCCCAGAGTGCTGGGATTACAGGCGTGAGCCACCGCGCTCGGCCACTTTATATTTCTTTGAATATAATATCCCAAGTAAGAATTTGGGATTGTGGACCGGGCATGGTGGCTCACGCCTGTAATCCCAGCTACTTGGGAGGCTGAGGCAGGAGAATCGCTTGAACCTGGGAGATGGAGGTTGCTGTGAGCCAAGATAGCGCCACTGCACTCCTCCAGCCTGGGCCACAGAGTGAGACTCGGTCTCAAAACAAAACAAAACAAAACAGAATTTGAGATTGTGTTTAAATATAGTAAGTACATTTGATAATCAACTGCATGGCAGTCAAATCTTAAATTCTAAAACCACTACATCTCTGAGTCAAAAAGTTGTATTTGTGGTAGTAGTCTAAAAGAAAAATTCTCACCAACAACACCTCAGGGCATTGTAAAAAGTGTTGCTGATTCTTTTCATTAGGGTGGTAATTGCTAATTAAAGCCTAATGTATAGTGGGGCTATAAGGGCTTTTTTTCCCTCCATGTTGGAAATAAGCAACTTCCCACATCAGAACGGGCAATGGAAACAACCAGAAGCCGCATGGAGATCTGGCACGGGGGCCAGCGAGGGCAGAACGGGAGTCAGCATTGCGCTCATGGCTCTCCGAGAGGGTCTTGGCGGTGGAGCACCCTGAGGAAATGGGAGAGTTACCCATGAGGCCTGGTACACCAGCATTTCCTCTACCTTTCCTATATGCCAGGGGATTTACGAAAGATTTTTTTTTTATAGGAACAAATAGACTATTTATATCCCCAACAATCACCTTTTTTTTTTAAGACAGAATCTCAAAGTCAGTTTTCAGAAAGTATGTGAGGATTTATTGCGTTCCAGGTAAAAGCAGCTGCCCATTATACGAAATCTTTTTTTTTTTTTTTTTTGAGACAGAGTCTCACTCTGTTGCCCAGGCTGGAGTGCAGTGGTGCGATCTCGGCTCACTGCAACCTCCACCTCCTAGGTTCAAGCGATTCTCCTGCCTCAGCCTCCCGAGTAGCTGGGATTACAGGAGTGCACCACCACGCCCAGCTAATATTTTTGTATTTTTAGTAGAGATGGGGTTTCACCATGTTCGTCAGGCTGGTGGTCTCCAACTCCAGATCTCAATGATCCGCCCACCTCGGCCTCCTGAAGTGCTGGGATTACAGGTGTGAGCCACACCGTGCCTGGTGCAACAATCACCTTTGACACTTCATATTATAGCAGAGAATGTCTTTCCTCTTGATTATTCAAGAAAAAATATATAAATGTATACATTCATTTCTATACAATTATGAGCTAAACAATACTGAATATATCTTATTAGATTTAAATAAAATTTAAGTAACAATTTTATTTCATCATTTCTAATAGTACGAGTTAAATAGATACTATGAGTAGAATTTGTTGTATGGATAAATGGAAGTAAGCATGGATATGTTTGTATATAATAAAATACAGTCAGCATGAATTTTATCCAATTTTTAAATAAACATAGAGTTATAAATTAAAATTAACCAGCCATACCAACCCATTTGAATCTATAGTTTCCTACAAGGGAATGAAAGGCAAAGTAATAGCGAGCCTCCAAATGTTTTAGTCACGCAGTGTAGAGCATCCACAAATCATCTCACCCCTCTGTCGGGGGGCGCTGTGGGGCGCCCCAGCTTCACTAGTAGTGCTTCTCTGAACTCATGCCTGCACCTTTTCTGCTGGAAGCCTGAACAATGATGCAGAGATACTGTTTTCTTTGTTGTAGAAAACAGCAGAAGGTCTGTGCTCACGAGGGCAATATTAGGTCCTCATCAGCTGTGGCTTGCTATCTCCAGCACATCAATGAATGGAGAAAATAAGATTTAAACAAAGATCAGTGTCTCCATTCTCTAACATTTTACTCAAAATATTGGTTAGGTTAGACTCCACACCCACCAAAACCCAAAACACATTCCGTCTCACAGATGCTCTACATTCTTTCAATACAGAAACCTTACGACAAAGCCTACAACATACACTTGTTTTGGTAAAATAATTGGTCCAGTTAGTAAAAAATGAGTTGAATTAGTGTTCTCCCTCTCACATATTATAACTTTTTTCAATTACAGAGATGTTTACAGAATTTATCTGAGGTGCTTTCTGTGTATCTCTGAAAACACCTTCGTAATAGTAGGCACACCCTGGTTAGTGGTTCTCGGCCCTGGCTGCTCACTGGCATCACCAGGAGAGCTCTGGACATACTGAGGCCTGAGCCCTTCCCCCAGACACTAATTTAATGGGACTGTGGTGGGGCCTGGGCATGGATGTTTTTAGAAGCATCTGCTGATAGATAAGCAATAAATACGAGTTTATTAACTACACATGGTGATTTGATTTCCTTGGATTCTTCCCTGATTTTCTGATCCATTGGCCCGTATATGAACAGGCTAACTTCTAGTGTGTGAAAAGACTGACAGGATATTAACCTGGCTAAGTGTCTTTGAAAATATAAACGGAGGGACCATGCCTGAAAAGAGTTATGAAAAAAAAAAAAAAAAAACAGAAAATATGCACCTGAGAGGGGCGCAAAGGAAGCAGGCGAATGTGGGGTCTTGGAGAAGTCACTCCTGATCTTGAGTTTCTATGAGTACACATTAAAGGAAGTCATTGCAGTTTTCTATGTACTGTGCATTTGGATATTTTCACAAACCGAAACAATAATTCGCTGTTTCGGGAAGGGGAACAGATAATGTGTTCTAACGTAGCATCTTTACTTTCTCTATTATTAGAAACATTTTAAAAATCTATCTTTCTTTGGCTTGGCATGGTGGCTCACAGCTGTAATCCAGCACTTTGGGAGGCTGAGACTGGCAGATTGCTTGAGGTCAGGAATTTGAGACCAGCCTAGCCAATATAGTGAAACCCTGTCTCTAGTAAAAGTACGAAAAACATTAGCCGGGCGTGGTGGCGCATGCCTGTAGTCCCAGCTGCTTGGGATGCTGAGTCAGGAGAATCGCTTGAACCCCAGAGGCAGAAGTTGCAATGAGCCAAGATCATGCCATTGCACTCCAGACTGAGAGATAGAGCGAGACCCCATATAAAAAGAAAAAGAAAAAAATTATCTTTTTTTGGAGTTTGTCAAATGTATTACCACTTTGATTATTATTAGTGAAACTTGGTGAGTTATATCAAATGATCAGTGATAGGAGATAATATCTACAAGATTTAATGATTGACTATAGGGAAGGAGAAGAGAAAGGAATAGATTTCTAAGTCAAATTCCATTGATAATGATGAGAATCATAGGGGGAGGAGTCAATGGGTAGGAGAAAAAATATTTGGTTTAGGACATGCTGAATGTGAGGAGCCTGTGATAAAGGATAGGATAATATGAAAAGCTTCCAAAAGGAGTACACCAGATTATGAGATCTACCTTTTCCCCAAACTAATAAAGGGAAAAAATATTAACTCCATTGTTAATTCTCCATTGATCCTGATGAAACGTCAGTACTGCTGATGAGATGTAAAAATAAAAAGCAGCAAGACTAAAGTTCTCCAAGATTCCTCTAGGATATGTTTGGTGTCTGCATTTGCATTTACTGTTATTTAATCTACGTTATTCAAGATGCTTTCTATTTAGAACCCCAAAACAAATGGTTGAATGGGCTTGCTCTGACTATCTATTTCCACAGAACAACCACCCAAAATTTAGTGGCTTAAAAAATGACAGCATTTATTTTGTTTATGAATATGCAATAACTCCGCATGGTTTGGGGATGGCTCAAAGACCAGGGGCGAGGATCATCTGCAGGCTCATCCACTCACACATCTAGTGGTTGATACTAGCTGTTGGATTTCCATGTGGCTCTTCAGCTTCCTCTCAGCATAGTAGATGGATCCAATGGTGAGTGTACCAGGAGAGCAGAAGGGAGCCAGGCATAGGTGTCTGGCCTTTCCTAACTGAGCTGAGGAAGTCACATGGTGTCATTTCTACCATATTACAGTCATTAGAAGTGAGCCAGTAAATCTGGCTCATATTCAAAGAGAGGGAAATTAGACTCTATTTTTAAATAAGTGTTAAAGAACTTAAGGGCATATTTTCAAACTGCCAGAGGGATCTCAGAAGGCTCTGCCACCTACAACCAACTATTTCTTTGCATTTTAATAGAATTTTTAAGAGAAATCATAGCTGAAGCTGAGGTTATATTTTGGAGTCGTCACAGTGAAAGAAATAAAGTACATGTAATTTGATATTTCAGAGCATTTTTCCCTTTGTCCAAGACTTTTTAAATTTGAAATATGGTTTTGGCAGTTTTGTAAGAGATATTACGTAAATTGAAAGGAGAAGATGAGTTTTGGGGTCAATCTTAAAAATTCATTTTGGAGAAGCACAGCATTTGCACAGCATCCCTCTGATTTCATGCCATTTGTATAAAAGAGCTGTGCTTTCCCAGGAGTGGAAACTACATTATTGGAAAAATATAGGTTCTTTAGGGTAAATGATAGCACAAAGATAGTAAATGTCTTTTCATTTGAAATAACCTTTGTGGAAATGCTATTATTCTCAATATATTGTAAAAGAGATGAATCAGAACAGTGTTAGAAACTATTTAATGGATCATCTATCTGTGACATATTATAAAGCTAACTGTTGAATTACCACTTGGCTAAAGGAGGCATCATGGCCAGAAAGGGTTCAGCTTTGGAATCCACAACCATGGTTTTGAATCTTGGTTTGACTTTTCTTTGCCGAGAGATCTTGAAGTTTTGTTATGAGGATTAGAGCACAATTCCTGGTATCTGCTCTCTGGCTGACACTCAGAAACTGAGACTTGTCATTAAGATTGTGATGGTGAGATGATGATGAGAAATTGTTTGACTATCTCAGGAATAGTAGAAATTATTAAAATATTGAATTGTACCCATGAGACCATGTGGCCAGGCAAGAAGAATGAGATAGGCCCTTTCTTCAAAGTATATGATTTTTTTTATTATTGAAGAAATTATTCATAAACACTTGAAAACAAAGCATATTCAAAGTTTTAAACTGTACCTAAAAGATAGTGCCATAAGAGTTGTGAGCTTTTGCTAAAAACTTTGACCTTAAAATGGGCAACTCATGAACTATGAATTATTTTAAGGGTCTAATTTATTGCATTTTTTGATTCATATGAATTTCCCTTGACAATGTTAATTCAGTTATCAGGGCAAATGAAAAAATAAGCTCTGTAAATTAAAATACAGAAATATTTACATATTGTGGCTTGTCTCTGGAACTTTTATAATGGGATATTATATTTTAACATAATGTTGGCATAAAATATTATAATCAAGATATCAGCAATATAGTTACAAGTTGTTCTTTCAAAACACAGGGTCATAACTCACAGGTACCTAATTTCAAAATACTTGGCATAATTTACAATTTATAAATCTATAATCTCTTTAAGGCTAATTGTTCTAATGTATAATTAATGCACTAGTGCCATGACTAACTTTTAATAATGCTGCATTTTCCACACCAGTTTATTGATAACCTAAAATATTGCAGTCATTCTTGTAAAAAGTTGTTAAAGATGTCTCTGTAAAATATAATGGCAAATGCTGGCTATTTTATGAATGGGAATTACAATAGTAAATAGTAAAACTGAAAATATTTTCCAAGAATAAATGTGCTTCATGTGGGTTTGATCAGCACATCTGATTGAAGATTTGAGGTGAGATACATTGTCCCCATTAAGTTTAAGGGTTTCAGCGCAAAATTAGCTGATCTACTCTTTGAAACGCAGAGCATTTGTGAAAATGCCAAACGCATCTCTGTTAGAATCTCATCCATGAGCAAATGAGTAATGTAAGTCAGATACAATGGTTAATTCTGTGGTTTGCCAAATCTGTACACTTTCCTGTTACTTTGTAGATTGTAAAATAATGATGCAGCGTTCACCCTAATGATCAATTGTTTTCCTTACTAAAATGTAAGCATTTAAAAGATCTGCCTAATTTTTTCTAAGTGTATGTTAGGCAGATCTATACTTCCAACTCCTAAAGCATTCTTCTAAAGCAGTTTATTAGAGCGCACACTAATGGCTTATCAATTAAGCAAACACGATCAGTATTGAGCACTTGCTCTGCTCCAGGGTGCCGGTGCTAGGTTCACGTGCATCAGGGAGACAGAGTCATTGTCCTCATGAAGCTTACAGGGGGGCAGATTGATTGAACCGACACCTCTGATTCCCTTTTAAGCCTGTAAGCAGCTGCTCCATAAAGCACGTGTTTCAAACACAACCACCTTCAGAGACGAGGTGATTCTGTTGAGTGGGTGAAGCAGGCCAGGCATGAGGCCGCAAGCAGTGGTTTAGACCAGTTCATTGGAGAATCCCTGCCTTATTAAAAGTATTTCCTTCCAAAAATGTGAAAGGAAGACTTGTCTTTTCCCCCAAATCATTTAGAAAGCTTGCTTTGTCACCTCTGCTTCTAAGGAGTCCTGGTTGGTCTCCAAAAGGAAGCTTTCTCTAAAGAACAGTGTAGTACAAAGTAAGATGGGACAAGACTAAGGGGGCCCACTCCTGAGCTGCTCAGCCACTTGCCCACCTCAGGTAAACACTGAGCCCGGTGGTCTTTCAGTCATTCCAGGTCTGATGTTCTACAGTTTTGTCAGGTTATCTGGGAGAAATTTTGATGCTGAAGACTCCCGAAAGTAGGAGAAGCATTTCAAACTGAGGCCTAAGATGTTTTCAAGTTGTGGCAGAGTTGCCTTGAAGAAGGTAACTCGGGCTTTGCCCTTTGCCCTTTTGCCCTTTGCCCTTTGCCCTCACCTGCAGCCAGCACATCCATACCTCACCTCTAATACAGCAACCCCTGTTTGACATGTTGTATATATTAAGCTTTTACTTAAGATGTCATTTAATGAAAAAGATTTTGCTGCTTAAAAAGCAGTGGAGAATAATAGCTAGCCTCTTGAGTACACAGTCCTGTAAGATTTGAGCACATGATTTTTAGAAAAAGAATAGAAAATAAGAGAAAATTATAACCTCACTTTACCTGTCGGGATATTGACATCCCTGTCAGATTTCACAAAGCCACATGTGCATCTGGTGAAATCCCAGATCCACCCTTTCTAACTGTATGCTCTTAGGTAGCCAATTAATCTTTCTAGGACTCAGTTTTCCATTCATTAAATGGGAAACTTAACACATAGGGCTTTTGAGAGGGTTACATGAGTCAATACAAGCAGAGAACTTAGTACTTCCTCTGTCACGTAGTAAGCACTCCTTGTTATCCTTGGATTTTGTGGTACTTTGGAGGAGAATGGCACTCGGATCTCTGTTGGTATAATTTTTACCAAAGTAAAATCTGGTTGAAATAGCATTCAGATTTAGGCTTAAGGAGAGGATATTTCTTAGAAAGGAAGGCTAAGCTTAATGGGGGAAAAGAGTTATCAGTGAGGCCTTGGGGCAGGGGACTGACTCCACTGGGCATTACTTGTGCAAAAGGGATAAAATGTAGAGAGAGTTTTTTTTTTCTGGTATATTATTTTATTCCATTAAAGTCAGTGTTCTACTTTTATTTTGTAAAATCATATTTCTGAGTCCTGAACAAAAGACTTTCAAGATAGATTTTACTGACAGAGAAATGGAGTGCCACATTCCATAGCTTTGCATATAGAGCTTCACATGCAAAGCTCTTTGCATCTCAAGGGCTAAAACAGGCTGACTTACAGCAAGTAGCTTTCCTGTAAACTGTAAAGTAGAAGAGAACGGAGACAGCTATGAAGGTGGGAAAAATGCCTCCTGCAGAAGAAGAGCAGACATAGGGGAGCATAAATAGTATACCCTGCCTGGACCCTGAGAAGGACCCAGACCCGCATGGTGCATATTGAGAGAGACATGGCTGTGGATGCTCATTACTTGGGATTCTCAGTGATGCCTCAATCCACAATTTTGTATTAATAAAAAAGTCTTTAAAATATTTGCATCTAGGAATCAAAGTGTCATTCAATGACTTATTGGTCCTCAAATGACAGCTTGGGGTTATACCTTATTTTCTATATCATGGAGTAACTCCTGCACTATATTCATTCTAGGAGAATTAACTATGTCAATTCTTATGTTCATCTCTTCCTTGGCTGATTATTTGTTAGGGAAAAAGCTTTTGCTTGTTTATTAACTTGTCTCCTTCCTACTCTTCTGATTATTATTTTGTAATTAAAACAGGATTTTAAAATTCATAGACACTAAAATATTCTAGACTTTTAGCACTGGTTTCTAATATTTTGGGAGGAGAAGCTTCATTTTTTCTTGAAAATGAAGGTGTAAAGATACTAAATTCCTTGAGTGGAACATCTGGGCTTCATAGAAACTTTGGAGCTATATGATAGTTAGAGAGAATGTAGACAGGGTTCCTCATTGTATAGATAATGAAACAGGACCAGAGAGGCTGAGTGACTTGTAGAAGGTCCCCCAGTGAGTAGCAGATCCTGGATGCATGCAGCATTGCTAACTCTGAGAGCTAAGTCCTCATCATGTCCCCACCTTCACCACACCACACAGTTCAGGAGAAGGGGCACATCTCTAGAATATGGCTGGAAAATACACTAGGGAAAACTTTAGATCCACTAGCAGAGTCCAGTGCTCCTCTTGGAGAAAGTGACCAGAAAGAATAAGGCACAGTTAGCTGTTGAAGAAAAGCTGATTTCTCAGCCAGATTATATACATTAGCATCCATGTTAGTTACCTTTGCTGAATAATTCTCTCCTCAACTCAGCTCTCTGAAGAAACCTCCAGGAATTAGCAGGGCTTTGAGTAGAGATGGCATATGTTTGGGTCCTGATGAAAATGATAAAATTGTGGCCTGGTTGCAGCTTGTGTGCTGAAGGAAGAGCATGATGCAGTTCATTGGTATGAAAAATGAATGCAACTAAAACCTAAACATTAAAACTTGGCCTTTATTACCAAAGTGAAAGTGCTTCTAATTGAGGCTCCCTGGGTTTTAATTGTTCTTCAGGAAAATTAGATGTTGTCAAAGTAGAAGGTTAATGTCTGTTCACAGTCTAGAGTTTTTGGAATAACTTCCTTCACAGCGTGTGTGTTTTAAACATAAAAAGGGCTTTTTGGTTTGTATATAGTTAGTGGGATTACGACTGCCTCACTAGATGCTTACAACAAATATTTAAGAAATCCATAAGTCTACTATTTATAACAGAATAAACATTTAAATGTAAGATATTTTGACCATTTTGGTAAAACATTTAAAAAATAAACTATCATGAACTGACAAAACCAACATCATTTAAAAAAATTCAACATGGCAAAAACTTTATGAGACTTATACCATAGACCAAATTTGTAACTTTAGCCTTGATACATTACTGCTTGTAAATAGAAATGTTCTTACTATGAAGTGATGTGCTCAGATACACCCAAAATTTATTAAAGGCATGTCAACAGCCAAATTCTGTGGTACAAGGTTTTTCATACATTATTTTACATAACCTTTGAGGAATTCCAATTTTATATTCCCATTTTCAGAAGAGTTGGTTAGTTACTGAATTCAACAAATGAGTGTGAGCAGGGGCCTGGAGTACTTAAAAAGAATAAACAAAATGCCTTTAAATCAGAAAGACAAAATTGCTAGTAATTTCAGTTAATTGCACTTTACTCCATGTAGCTACAATTGTAGATATCTAGAAAAAATATCTATGCTAAAAGTCTGCCATCTGGAAAAGTCAAAAGAATGATGAGCTGGTATTAAATCTCAGTAACCCTGGCATATGGAGTATCTCTGCCATGTTAAGAGCAGACCTTGGTATGAGACTGACTCTGGGCTTTACATATGAATTTGGAATTGCCAATATCTCCACTTGAACTATGTGAGACAATAAAAGTGCTCCCTTATACACTTTAGATAATGGGCCCTTTGGGGGATCTGATGTTCATTCTGCCTTTCCCAGAAAAATACAACTATAATAAAATGTTGTAATCAGTTTCAGTTTATTTATTGCTGATCTTTTATTTTTGTTTTAATTTAACATGGCAATCCACTTTCTATAGTCAAAAGTGCAATTTAAAGAACTCTAACAACTCACAATATAGAAGAATGTCTTTGGAAATTTTAGGATTCAAATCTAAAACAAATCTTAAGATTTCTTTTTCCTAGATTGTACTGATGTTACAAGTGCCTTATGTAATACCCAGTTCTTCCCCATGGAGATTTCTCAGTGAAAGAGCCACATCACATGTTCACAAGAGCATCAAGAATAAGAGGGCCACGTACCTAGGAAGAAAGATTGGCAAGCATTCTCTCTCCCCCATCAAATATAAATGGATTTAGCACAGGGATTTGGTTTAATTCACTGCTGCCAGCACCTAGAACAATGCTTGAAATTTTTAATATGACAATGCACAATTCAAGAGGAAATAATAATATTGTATTAGTCTGTTCTCACACTGCTATAAACACATGCCTACGACTTGGTAATATATGAAGAAAAGAGGTTTCATTGACTCACAGTTCCACAGGCTGTACAGGAGGCATTGCTGGGGAGGCCTCAGGAAACTTAAAATCATGGCGAAATGCAAAGGGGAAACAGGCACATCTTCACATGACTGGTAGGAAAGAGAGAGCTGGGAGGTGCTATACACTTTTACAACCATCAGGTCTCTTGAGAACTCACTATAATGAGAATAGCAATAGCAAGAGGGAAGTCTGCTCCCATGATTCAATCACCTCCTCCAACATTGTGGATTACAATTCGATATGAGACTTGGGTGGAGACACAGAGCCAAACCATATCAAACATTAGTACGTGAAAGTAGTTATTATGATAAAACATATTTTAACCAACATACAATTAGTTATATGATTTTTATAATGTTTTCAGTGTTAAAATTTTTGAAAAAACTGCAGAAAAACAAGTGGAAGTGAACAAAATTACATTGACAGTAGTAAGTTGTAATGTTTAATTCTTTTAATGTTTCAGTGGGAGCTAGAAATTGGTTTGATATACTTTTTAGTTCAGTTGGAATACTCCACTTCTCCACTTTGCCTAATATATGCTGCAGCAATAAATTAATTTTCCTTCTGAGATTTCTAATAATTTGGGGAGTGCTTATTTGCAAAGAATTGAAAAAAAAGTGACACAAATTGATATATCATGCAAACTATGTGGTTTTGTATTTTCAACTAATTGCTGAAGAGCACTTATACGCAAAAAATATCAGATTCCTCAAAGAAGAGATATTTAAGGCAAGTAAAGAAATGTATAGGTCAGTTTCCTTCAAATAATTTTATTTCTTACTCTTAAAAATCTTTTATTTCAGATTCAGGGGCTACATGTGCGGGTTTGTTACATGGGTGTATTGCATGGTGCTAAGGTTTGGGCTTCTATTGATTCCCTTACCCAATACTAAACATAGTACCTAATTGGTAGTATTCAAACCCTGCTGCCTTTTCTCCCACCCTATTTTTGGAGTCCCCGGTGTCTACTGTTCCTATCTATATTTTCCAGTGTTTAGCTCCCACTTATAAGTGAGAATATGCAGTGTTTGTTTTTCTGTTTCTGCTTTAATTTGCTTAGGAAGTGGTCCCCAGCTGCATTCATGTTGCTGCAAAGGACATGATTTTGTTCTTTTTATGGCTGTGCAGTATTCCACCGTATATATGTACCACATTTTCTTTATCCAGTCCATTGTTGATGGGAACCTAGGTTGATTCCATGTCTTTGCCATTGTGAATAGTATTTTGATAAACATATGAGTGCAGGTGTCTTTTTGGAAGAATAATTTATTTTTCTTTGGGTAGCTACCTAGTAATGGGATTGCTGGGTCAAATAGTAGTTTTATTTTTAGTTCTCTGAGAAATCATCAAACTGCTTTCCACAGGAGCCAAATTAATTTACATTCTCTCCAACAGTTTATAAGTATTCCCTTTCTCTACAGCCATGCCAATATCTGTTGTTTTTTGACTTTTTAATAAGAGCCATTCTGACTGGTGTGAGATAATATCTCATTGCATCTTTTTGATAATTAACGATGTTGAGCATTTTTTTCATATGCTTCTTGGCCACTTGTATGTCTTCTTTTGAGAAATGTCTGTTCCTTTTGCCCACTTTTTAATGAGGTTATTTGGGTTTTCTGTTGATTTGTTTAAGTTCTTTATAAATTCTGGATATTTGTTTTTTGTTGGGTACATAGTTTACAAATATCAAATATTTTCAATCTGGAAACTTGGATCTTTTATTTTTATGATGATAAATTGAGGCATATTGCAAGAAAAACATTTGAATCAGAATATTTACCAATATTATCATAATAGTGAATTATATTTTTACTTGTCCCTACATTTTGGTAATAACAATTAAATTTTGCTAAATAATAATTAAGTGCTGGTCCAAGATGGTGGACTGATTATTCTTCCAGGGGGCCAATTTCAATGACAATAAATGAGAAAATGATGTGAATCAGTAACAATACTAATTTAAGCTAATTTCTATATTTCTATAGTGTACATGTTCTTTGAAGCAACAAGTATCTATCACTGTAAGAATAAGACATTTGGAAAATGTCTTATATATATGAGATATGTCATATATATGTATGTAAATAAACCATAACGTTTCTGTGGTATATGATGTGAGCTATTTTCAAATATGTGAGTTCCAACCTCCCTCTGTTAAGGAACATTTAACTTTCAGTGATTCATGTCACTTCTGAGACCAACTGTCCCCAGCCTCTGAGATTCAGATAAAAACAAGTATCCTTAGCTCTAGATTAATCCAATGGCACTGAGCATCTATGGTGATGAAAGATATATTTTCGGTAGTCATTTTACCAAAGATGGTGCTGTGAAAACCATCAAAATATAAATCATGGCCTTAACCATCTATCTGAGAAGACAAGACTAATACACTTGAAACACAAGAAACAAATGCAAGAGAATATAAATATACTTGTCATTGAATTTTGCAATACAGCCTACGAATGTTATAGAGGCTCATCTAAATGAGGAAGTCAATGATGCATAGTATAATCAAGATATGCTTCCTAGAATACATTGTGTAGATGGATTTGAATAGGCAGATGGATAAAGATGAACATTTAAGACATGAGCAAATGCCTACACACCTGAAAAAATGTGGCAAGTCTGTATAGGAGAGAAGAACATCTCTGAGGGCTTGAGCTACAGTGTGATAAGGAGCTCATTTGAATAATCTGGTGGAATCAGATGGGCTATGGAAGCCTGATGGAGTAACACAAGCAGATAATCAGCAAAGATGCTTATCAGCTCTAAGAAGGACTAGAAAAAAATTTCAGAATATAAACCAAGGAAATAATTTTTAAATGTATAAAATTTAACCTAAATATAATTCTATAATGTAAACAGAAAAAAATAATTGACTGGAAACTATTTTCATCAAATATGAACATTATAAATTACTCTCATGGGTTACTCAATGTACTTTAAATTTTAGACATTTTAAAATGATTCAATTTTTAAATTTGTCTTTAAATTTATATATAATATATTTGAGATATAAAAAAACCAAACTATTTTTCTTAGTCTCACACACTCACCACTCAATACATTACTTCACCTCTGGTCACCAAAATATGTATGGATTTTTCCCCGCATGCAAAGGAATTCTCCAGCAGACACCACCAGGTTGGCCTATTATTGAATTCAATTCTGACACTATCTACTTGGATATAGGGTCAGATCCCACACAGTAAGGGCACAGTCTCACAGGACTTCCCTTCACTTTAGATGCCAATTGCAGGTCCCAGAATGTGACCTGTACTTCTGGCCAACTGGCTATAAATTGGAGGTTCCCATTACCCCCTGTTTAGGTTCAATTAATTTGCTAGAATGGCTCACAGAAATCAGGGAAACACATTATTTACATTTACTCATTTATTACAAAGGATGTTACTAAGGAAAGTAATGAACAGTTAGGTGGAGAAGCTGCATAGGGCAAGCTTGTCCAACCTGCCTTATTTTGTTGAGGTTGTTGTTGTTGTTGTTGTTGTTGTTGTTGTTGTTGTTGCTGTCCTGTTTTGTTTTGCTTTAGACTTTTAGCAACCTGAAGCCATGGTTTTTAGTTTCTGTCTATAGTGATAAGCAGAAAAGAGGAAGGAGGAAGGGGCTTTACTGGCCCAACTGGGAACAGAAACTAAGAACCCATGACTGTATTCCCTCCCTTGGACATCACTGAAGGCATGAGAGAAGGTGTAGGGAGCTTCCGTGCCCTCTCTGGTATGCCACCCTCAGGTACCTCCATGTGTTCAGCAATTCAGAAGCTCTCCAAACTGATTTTGGGGTTTTATGAAAGCTTCATTATGTGGAAATGATTGATTACCTCATTGGCCATTGGTAATCAACTAAATTTTCAGCCCCTTTCCTCTTCCTGGGGAATAAGGGGTTGGGGCTAAAAGTTCATATCCTCTAATTACATGGCTGGTTTTCATGGCAATCAGCTCCTATTCTAAGGCTATCCAGGAGCCTACCAAGAGTCACCTCATTACAGCAAGAGATGCTCCTATAATCCAGGATATTCCGGGGATGTAGGAGCTCTGTATCAGATACTCCTATCACTCAGGAAATTAAAAAGTTCTTCGGAGCTCTGTGTCAAGAACCAGGGTCAAAGACCAAATATAAGAACAAAAGATACTCCTAGCATCCCTATCTGCAAGGGTTTTAGAAGCTCTGTCTCAGGAATCAGGGACAGAGACCAAATACATAATTTTTATTATATCACAATATCACATGGCATAATTCACTTTTATATTTTGTATATAGTTCAATAAGTTTTACCAAATGCATGAAGTAATGTAGCTACCACTACAATCAGTAACACAGAATAGTCTCATCACCACAAAACAACTCTCCCTGGAATCCCCTTTGTAAGCACTCTCTACTGATATGTAACCTCTAGAAACCACTGATCTGTTTTCTGCTCCTATAATCTGGTGTACTTCAGAGTCTCAGAAAAATGTGATCATAGGAAATGAATGATAAAAAGCTATAAAACCTACAGAAAACAAATAGCAGAGTGCCAATAGTAAGTTCTTCCCTTTAAATGTAAATAGATTAAACTCTGCAGCCAAAAGATATAGATTGGCAGAATGGATTTTTTTAAAAAAATCCACACAGGATCCAACTCTATTCTGTCTATAATAAACTCACTTTAACCCTAAGTACAAGCACAGGTTGATAGTGGAAATACGGCAAAATATATTCTATGCAAATAGTAATAAAAAGAAAGAAGGGTGCCTATACTATCAGCCAAAATAGACTTTAAGTGAAAAACTCTTATAAGAGACAAGGAAGGGCGTTATATAATGATAATAGAATCAGTTCACCAAGAAGACATAACAGTTTTAAACATATATGGACCAAACACCAGAGCTTCAAAATATATGAAATATTTTCCTAAATCAGAGTCATGGTTATTTTCTCCTAGATTATCTTGTAAAGTTTTATAATTTTACATTTATGTCTATAATCCATTTTTAATTTTTTATAAAGAGGGAGTTATAAGTAGAGGTTTATTTTTCACATAAGATGCCAAATTATTCCAGCACCATTTATTAAAAAGAAAATTCTATCTGTTCTTTGATCTTTATCAAAGATCAATTGACCATATATGTGGGCATCAGTTTATGGATTCTCTATTCTGTTACATTGACCTGCATGACTATCTTGATTACTGTAACTTAAGTCTTAACATCAGATAGTGTGATTCCTCTAACTTTGTCATTTTCAAAATTATTTTAGAATTTTTGCCCCTTTACCATGCCCTATACAATTTAAGAATCAGTTTGTGCTTTATCAGGATAAGAAAATTGCCTTTATTTGTACTTTGCTGAGAGTTTTCATAATAAGTGGATATTCAATTTTGTCAAACATTTTTATGTACCTAGTTGTGTGACTGTTAGATTTTATCAAAGCATTGTAAGAAAATTGCTATGAGTAATGCAGAGGATTAGCTCTTCTTGTTATTCCCAGATCAGCCCTATATTTTGACTGGAATTTTTCATTTCACTAATATGTATCTAGAGGACTGTATATTCTTCCCTATTTATTTAAGCAATTATTTATATACATTTAGAATTAAAAATAATTTAATACTTTGGGATATAATTCAATACTACTTTGTTTATTTTATTGCACAAATTGTTCTAGTTTTGGCCACTGGGAGTTCTTTCTGTTGGCTCCTGTATTCCTTTGATATACCCCCATCATTGAGGGTTTTTTAAATGTGGTTTATTATTAATGAAATTAAAATGATCTATTCATAGCACCTGAGATGATTTCAGATATCATATTATGCAAGCATTAAGATAATATTAAGAATTAGACTGGTAAATGAAAATCATAGAATCAGAGTACTTACTCAATGTCAAGTTTTGCTAATAATTGCAATGACACAAGCAGTTATATGACACAAGTGAAGCAGAAAGTGTTCTGGGACCCCAATGTGACTTATTGGGTCATTTCTTCTCACATGAGATGTGTTCTGGTACAGATCTTGCACAGAAGAAGCCACTTAGGTCATGAATTACTGAGTTACATAGTTTATGTGACATTTTCCTTGGAGCCATCCCCTGTAAACCTAAAGATTCCAGGTCTATTTACACAGGTGATTCTAGATAGGCAGCTATATTTTACTATATGTATTTCATAGTTCTCTCTTGCTAGCCAAGGTCACATACTTTGTTTGCCAGGAGAGCTGCCATTATAATGTTTACAAGGCAATTAGACAAGATAATATGCTTTCTTTCTTCCTTTGATGCATCACGCAAACTCTGCCATGAGAGAGAAGGGCATGCAGGTCTACTTCATAAGTCCTTTCTTTCTAGATATTCTGGTACAGTATTTTAATGTATTTTATGATACAGATACTCTAGCATTTAATATATTTTAATGTATCATGTTTAATATAAGCTCGATAAAGAATCATCACTTCACATACTTTGGATAATAATTGTACACAGTGCAAATTCATGGAGAAAATAATCAGAACCATTAATGCTGATAATTTTGGGGCATTTAAACCTTTTTCAGGTCAATGGATTAATAGATTTATTAGCTCTTGCAGAGTGCAAGCATATTACAGATTTATAGTATAAGTGGTTAAAAACATTTTTATTTCACTGAAAATTCATGTAAAGTGAAGCTTTTGCAAAACTGTAACCTTTATGCTTTTAATAAAACAGTATTTCTGTTGTACATGATAATGGTTTTGTTCTGGAACACTATGTATAAGCAGATTTTGAATTGAAGGCAGTGGAGCAAGTCTGTCAAAAATCAATTCAATTGATTTCCATTTATGTAGATGCATTGAGTTTTACAGTGGTTGAAGCTCTCTTTAAATTGATTGGATTCAGAATGCAGGCCAGTGGTCCGCATCCATATTCTACACCGTTTCTCCAAAACTTGGTAAAGAAAAATGCTTTAGAAACTTTCCTGAACAAATAATATAAAGATCATACCAACTATATGTTAACCAATTAGTTATGAAATCTAAAATCATTAGGGTTACATTTCAAAAGTGAAGTTACTAAAAAGGTGAAATTCAAATCTAATAGAAATAGGGTAAAATGCAGAACATTTATGAAACATAAAAGAGGGACTATCTGTGTTAGCAATTAAGGGCTGTAGCAATTTCTGATATCAGATTCCAAATTTGAAGAGATCCAGACACTTCATACACAGGTTTATTTTGCCCTAATATTTTGTCTTATTGAGAATTGTGGTAAAGAGAGAAGACCTGAGTTTCATTCTTATAATGGTTTGAGACATGAGGAAGTCACTGAACATTTCTGGACGTAACTCACTTGCATGATTTCAACTATCACATATACTTGGATGCTTGAATTACAAACCTATGTAGACTAGACTTTCCTGCTAAGCTGAAAAGCTGTATATGAACATTTCTTTCATGTTAGCTCCAGTTGACTGTTTCTCAGGTACTTTCAATTTCACATGTCCCAAATTTTTCTGATTTTCCTCTGGCCTCTGAATGCCCTTTCTCTGTGAGCAGCATCGTCACACACCTTGTCACCCAATCTCAAAAATGGAAAGACACCTTCCAAGTAGCCTCTTCTCACCACCCTTATCCTATTCCACACCCTGTTTCAAACACTGTGAAGGTTTTTGGAGTAGCTGTTCAAAGGACCTACCACAATTAGTTTCTGAAAAGAACAAAAAAATTACTAGCTCCAGCTGGTTGACCATCACAATTGAGATCATGCTTGATTCTGCCTCTGATGTAAGATTTTCATTGCTCAAGGCAGTCAATAAATTTTGATTCTTAAAGACACACTCTGATAATTTTCTGTGAAGTAGGAAACTCACTCAAGAAGACCAGCCTTTGAGTGGTATCACAGTCTAGACTTTAAATTTATAAGGTGGAAATGGGCTGTAGTTGGAATAGATTCTTAGCTCTGTGGATTCTATTTCTATCACAGCTCTCCTATCCACCTCTCTCTCCGTTGCCCATGAAATGGCCTAAATCCAGGCCTTTAACACTTTTTATTTGAATTATTATGGAAATAGTTAACTGTCCTTACTGCCTCCAGACATGCTTCCCTCTAGCTTCCTCCTTCATATTGATGTGCAATGATATAAACTCCAAATCTGATCCAAGTCTGCTGAAAAGCCTTTAATAAATGACTTCCTACATTTTTTCAGGAAAAAGTTTAAGTTTTGTGGCTCATCACATACCACATTTTTTGAATGAATATACAGTAAAATAAAAAGTAGTAGAAATACCATTTGACCCAGCAATCCCATTACTGGGTATATACCCAAAGGATTATAAATCATGCTGCTATAAAGACACACACACACACACGTATGTTTATTGCGGCACTATTCACAATAACAAAGACTTGGAACCAACCCAATATCCAACAATGATAGACTGGATTAAGAAAATGTGGCACATATACACCATGGAATACTATGCAGCCATAAAAAATGATGAGTTCATGTCCTTTGTAGGGACATGGATGAAGCTGGAAACCATTGTTCTCAGCAAACTGTTGCAAGGACAAAAAAACAAACACCCCATGTTCTTACTCATAGGTGGGAACTGAACAATGAAAACACATGGACACAGGAAGGGGACCATCACACACCGGGGACTGTTGTGGGGTTGGGGGATGGGGGAGGGATAGCATTAGGAGATATACCTAATGCTAAATGATGAGTTACTGGGTGCAGCACACCAACATGGCACATGTATACATATGTAACAAACCTGCACGTTGTGCACATGTACCCTAAAACTTAAAGTATAATAATAATAAAAGAAAAAAAAGTAGTTGAATGAATATAGAGTAAACAAAAATGGGTGGGCCTCATGCTTCTATAAAATACAAGGCTTTATTAGGTAAATTAAAAGTTTCTTAAGCTTCCAACATTTTCTTATTCCACAGGAAGCTGTAAAATTTTCTGCACTGGATCCACACTTTGTCTTTATATTCTCCTCTCAGCACACCATTTCCCAATATTTGGTAACCCACAGGTTAGCATCGAAAATAAACAAGTCAGGGTGGCTGGCAAGGTGGCCAAATAGGAACAGCTCTGGTCTGCAGCTCCCAGTGAGATCAACGCAGAAGGCAGAAGGTGGGTGATTTCTGCATTTCCAACTGAGGTAACCAGCTCATCTCATTGGGACTGGTTAGACAGTGGGTGCAGCCCAAGGAAGGTGAGCTGAAGTAGGGTGGGGCATCACCTCACTCACGAAGTACAAGGGGTTGGGGAACTCCCTCCCCTAGCCAAGGGAAGCCATGAGGGACTGTGCCATGAGGAATGGTGCATTACAGCCCACGTACTATGCTTTTCCCATGGTCTTCACAACCTGCAGACCAGGAGATTCTCTCGGGTGCCTGCACCACCAGGGCCCTGGGTTTCAAGCACAAAACTGGGTGGCCATTTGGACAGACACCGAGCTAGCTGCAGGAGTTTTTTCATACCCCATTGGTGCCTGAGAATGCCAGCAAAACAGAACCGTTCACTCCCCTGGAAAGGGGGCTGAAACCAGGGAGCCAAGTATTCTAGCTCAGAGTATCCCACCCCCACAGAGCCCAGCAAGCTAAGATCCACTGGCTTGAAATTTTCACTGCCAGCACAGCAGTCTGAAGTTGATCTGGGATGCTTGAGCTTGGTGGGGGGAAGGCTACTCAAGCCATCACTGAGGTTTGAGTAGGCAGTTTTCCCCTCACAGTGTAAACAAAGCTGCCAGGAAGTTTGAACTGGGTGGAGCCCACTGCAGCTCAGCAAAGCCACTGTAGCTAGACTGCCTCTCTAGATTCCTCTTCTCTGGGAAGGGCATCTCTGAAAGAAAGGCAGCAGCCCTAGTCAGGGGCTTATAGATAAAACTCCCATCTCCCTGGGACAGAGCACCTGGGGGAAGGGGCAGCTGCAGGCACAGCTTCAGCAGACTTAAACGTTCCTCTCTGCCAGCTCTGAAGAGAGCAATGGATCTCCCACCACAGCGCTCAAGCCCTGCTAAGGGACACACTGCCTTCTCAAGTGAGTCCCTGACCCCTGCACATCCTGACTGGGAGACACCTCCCAGCAGGGGTCGACAGACACCTCACACAGGAGAGCTCTGGTTGGCATCTGGTGGGTGCCCCTCTGGGACAAAGCTTCCAGAGGAAGGAACAGGCAGCAATCTTTGCTGTCCGGCAGCCTCCGCTGGTGATACCTGGGCAAACAGGGTCTGGAGTGGACCTCCAGCAAATTCCAGCAGATTGGATGTTATTGGTTTATAGAAATGCTACTGAATTTTGGACATTGATTTTCTATCCTGGAACTTTGTTGAAGTTGTTTATCAGAGCTGGGACCCTTTTGTCAGAGACTGGGATTTTCTAGGTATAGAATCATATTATCTGCAAACAGAGATAGTTTGACTTCCTCTTTTCCTATTTGGACACCTTTTATTTCCTTCTCTTACCTGATTGCTCTTGCTAGGACTTCCAGTACTACAATGGCTAGGAGTGATGAGAGTGGGTATCCTTGTTTTGTTCCAGTTCTCAAGGGGAATGTTTCTGGATTTTGCCCATTCAGTATGATGCTGGCTGTGAGTTGTCACGGATGGCTCTTATTATTTTGAGTTATGTACCTTCAATACCTAGTTTGTTGAGGGTTTTTAAACACGAAAAGATGTTGAATGTTATTGAAAGACTTTTCTATGATGATCATGTGGTTTTTGTTTTTAGTTCTGCTTATGCAATGAATCACATTTATGGATTTATGTATGTTGAACCAACCTTATATCCTAGGAATAACGCCTACTTGATTTAGTAGATTAGCTTTTCGATGTGCTGCTGGATTTTTGTTGAGGATTTTTGCATCTATGTTTATCAGGGATATTGGCCTGAAGTTTTCTTTTTCCATTGTTTCTCTGGCAGGTTTTGGTATCAGAATAATGCTGGCCTCATAGAATGAGTGAGGGCTCAGCTCAGGCTCTTTGTTCAGTCCCCAGCTTGCAGGCAGCAGGGGCAGGGACCTTGGCAGTGACAATGTTAGAGGGCCTTACACTTACCTCTTGGAGCTCCAACCCAGAGAAATGCAGAGCCTCTGCTAACCAAAATGATCAGCCCGGGGTGGAGTGGCTATGTCACACACCCAAGTTGGAGGCCTTGCCTGGTGGTGAGCAGGGGGTGGGGGCTTACAGGGAAGACAGTCTGGCCTCTTTGGGAAAGAGCAAAGAACCTGAGTGCCTGTGGTATGCTGGAGGTGTAATAAGGCACTCAGGTTCTTTGTTCTTTCCCAACCTGGTGGCAGCAATAGCAGGCACCGCTGTAGCAGTGGTGTCAGAGGGATCGTCAGTTGCCTCTGAGAACTCCACCCCAGAGATACATGAAGCTACTGCCAATGGGAATGATCAGCTGGGGGTGGGGTGGCTGCATGGCAGGCCCAATCCAGGGGCCCTGCCTGGTGTAGAGCAGGGGGTCAGGGGTTCACAGGGAAAAGAGACTGGGTTCCTCTCTGTAGGACAGCTGCAGCATGCTGGAGGTACCAGCAAAACAGTCAGGATCTTTGTTCTTTCCCCAGCCCGAGGGCAGCAAGGGCAATATCCCCGCAGCTGAGATGGTAGAGAGCCTTTGGGTCATCTCTGGGATTTCCTCTCCAGATAAAAGCAGTGCCACCACTGACTGAAGTGCTCAGGCGGGGGCAGGATGACTGTGCTGGGGTCCAGGTTGGGAGGCCCTGCACAGTGAGGAGTAGCAGGGGCAGGAATCCACAGGGGAAATAGTCTGGCTGCTTTCCTGCATGGCAGCTGCACTGCGTTGGAGACACATGATAGTCCTTAGGCTCATCACTTACTCCCTCTGCCGCCTCAGGGCAGTAGGGGTGGGGGCTGCAGCAGCAGCAAAAAGGCGGAACTGTCAGTTAACTCTGGGAGCTCTGGCCCAGGGAAGTGCAGAGTCACTACTAGCCTAAGTGTTCAGGCAGGGGTGTGTTGGCTGCGCTGGGGACCTGGGCCCGTGGGCTTTGGCTGGCAAGGTGTGGCGAAGGTAAGGCCTATAGTCTGTCTGCTCCTCAGCACTGTGAAAGCAGCATGTATCTTGGGAGCGTGCAAGAGGGCCTGGCCTCACCTGCTGGCAGAGCTATGGCAGCTGACCCTGGGATGCTCAGGAGCCCAAGGCCCTTGAGGCTCCATATGTGCCTGAGTGGCAGCTCTGCCCAGACTCTGCACAGCGCTCTGTCAGTCTGGAGGCCCTGGAGAGAGAGGGTCAGGGGATCTCCTGTGCCCAGGATTGCAGAGATCCATGGCAAGAGTATGGGCTCCTGGGGGCTCTTTCCCACTCACACTTTCCCTGTGGTGAGAAGCCTTCCTTGGCTCCATGCGAATCCCAGGTGGGCAGCTGCCCTGTCTCACTCTTCTCTCTTCTCTCTGGGTTTTGTTGCTTCCTTGATGAGTCCCAACGTGTCCTCCTGGGCAATCCAGTTGAAGAGGTAGTGTTTATTGGCCATTCTGTCCCTTGATATTACACAACCCATCTGAGCCATAGTCCTTCAGCCACATCCATGACCAAGTGCCTGGGAGATTTAAATAAACTCGGTGCTCTGCTTGTGTAGTAAAAACAGACTACCACCTAAGCTGAGATTTTTAATCATCACTTATGGAAAGGATATCCATGAAAGTCCATTAAAACTATGAATATATACAGATTGAATATCTGATAAGACACATCTTGAAAATATGTAAATATTTTGATGCATAATGTTTAAGGAAGAAAAGAACAGAGACCTTTTTTTAACCTTTTCGTCCTATGTGATATCTGTATTTAGAATATAGTTAACTCATCTGCAAATCCGATTCCAAATGATAGAGAAAAAAATCTATGTTAATTTTTCCCCATTTCACTTGTATTATTTGGAGATATGTAATTTCTAAAAGGCAATAGGCAATACAATGATATTTTAATTTTTAAAAACAAGCAGCTTTTTTTTTTTTGCTTTTCTCACTTGGAATGCCAATCAACAAGGGTTTTTTGGTTTTTTGTTTTTTTGCTTGTTTGTTTACTCTACTTATAATGAAATCAAGTAGTTTTTCTGAACAGAATAATATGTTTAGGGGAAGAAATAGCTTATAAGATTATTGACTGAATGTGAAACTCAAACATTAAATGAGATGAAAAAACTAAATTAGTTATTCCCTGAGACAAACAGGGATGGGAGAACACCTCTGGGAGGCAGCTCCTTTTCCTCAGTTTTACTTATGTATTTAGTTCAACATATCCACACATAGTGCTTATCATATACCAGGTACTATTGTAAAATACATAACTGTTGATTTACTGGGTTCTCATAACTCCCTAGGAAGGTTATTTTTATCATTTTGCCCTTTTACCTGAGGTAAGTGAGGCTCATACATGGTGTGATGGTTGATTTTATGCATTTACTTGACTGGGCATGGGGTGCACAGACATTTGATCAAACATTCTTCTGGGTACTTCCATGAGGGTGTTTTCTGATGAGATTAACATTGCAATCAGTAGACTAGTTAAAGCAGATTGTCCTTCTTAATGTGAGTGGCCCTCATCTAATCACCAGAAAGTCTGTTAAGTAGAACAAAAAGGCTGATTCTTGTGCAAATAAGAAAGAACTCCTCCTGCCTGGCGGTTTGAGCTTGGACATTGGTGTCTTCTGTCTTCAGACTCAGCTGAAACATTGGCTCCTCAGACTCACACTGGAACTACACCATTGGCTCTCCCAAGTCTCTAGCTTGTCAGTTGCACATCTTGGGACTTCTCAGCCTCCATAATTACATGAGCCAATTCCTTATCATAAATTTTCTTATATATATGCATGTGTACACACACACACACATGCACACATATGCGCACGCGCACATACATGTGCACGCACACACACACACACGCACTCACACATACACACACAATCTGTTTATCCAGAGGACTCTAATACAGGGAGTAAGTGTCTCAAGGCCACATAGTTACAAAGCTCACCCAGGGAGTCTGACTCCAGGGCCCATGCTCTGGGCATCAAATATCACTCAACGTTCACATAAAACCTAATGTCTTAGGCACATTACATGTATAGTAAGTCATAACTTAATGTCATTGATAGGTTATTTGAAATTGCAACTTTAAGTGAAAAGACATACTGTATGCCATAGGAACTTAACTCTTATTTATATCAATTAGCATATGGTAAAATTGGTTTTGTTATATAGTACAATATTTTACTTAAAGTTGCAGTTTCTTTTTTTTTTTTTTTTTTTTTTTTGAGACAGAGTCTCCCTCTGTCGCCCCGGCTGGAGTGCAGTGGCTCGATCTCAGCTCACTGCAAGCTCCGCCTCCCGGGTTCATGCCATTCTCCTGCCTCCGCCTCCCGAGTAGCTGGGACCACAGGCACCCGCCACCACGCCCGGCTAATTTATTTTTTTTGGTGTATTTTTTTTTTTAGTAGAGACTGGGTTTCACCATGTTAGACAGGATGGTCTTAATCTCCTGACCTCGTGATCCACCCGCCTTGGCCTCCCAAAGTGCTGGGATTACAGGCATGAGCCACCACGCCCAGCCTAAAGTTGCAGTTTCTAAGAACCTGTCAATGCCATTAAGTGAAGGCTTACTATACTCCTGTGAGATCAATACTAATATCTCAATTTGAGAAATGAAAAATTTGAGTCTCAGATGATTTAAGCAAAATACCCAAGGTTACATAGTTCTATGTAGCTGAGGTAGAACTTGAACCCAGATCTTTGTGGCTCCAAACACCATTTTCTTTCCAATTTGCCTTCTGTCAGTTATCTACCTTTAATTAATATAAGTATTTATCTACCTTTAATTAATTACTATGCATAATCATGAAATAAGCTGAATTATCTCTGCATTTTAAGATCTAGATAAAATGGGTTTAATACCACACTGGTGGAAAATCCCAGTAGCCCTCCTGCATTTATGTGAATTTCAGATTCCCTGACTCTGAATTGACAAGTTCTCTAAACTCTTTTTTCTCTTTGCAGCATCTAGAAACTTCTTACTTCCACATGAGGAATACAATGTCATTTGTTGGATTTTCACATGACAACAAAAGAAAATAATAAACAAGACCTTGCTTGCATGGAAAATTCATTGCCTATTGTAGGAAAAGGCAGGGATGTCATTACACAGAGCAAAGAAAATAACAGAGGTTAATCAATGTTACTGCTAGCTTGCTCTTATATATACTTATTTTCATTTCTGATGCTTTTTTCCTCTCAAGGGTAAAAAAACAAACATCAAATCTCTATAAATCTCTCATGCAGGGCACCCAGCTTTCTGCAGCTCTGTCCTTCTTTGGTTTGTAATCCACACTTTTGAAGCCCGTCTAAGTGCATTCATAGACAAGGCCATCTCTCCCCTTGGCCTTTGACTGTGGGGCAGGGTGTAAAAAGTGGGAGGTGGGTTATATGCTTCTAGTTGGGTAAATGCTAAGCGTTTTTATGTGGGTTGCATTTTATTTTCGCTTTCTAACAACATAATTGAACATTCAGAAAGGGTGAGTAACTTTCCAAAAGTTTCACAGATACTGAAAGATAAGTTAGGGTTCATACTTTGGTCTGTCTGATCACAAGCCAGACTAAGATTTGAACTTCTCTGAGACTGTTTCCTCAAATTTAAAATCAGAATCATGTTATCTAATTCACTGGCTGAACCAAGCTCATTCCTCACCCATTTTTTATTGGTACTTCTTAAAGAATGTGGTCCTCACTCTCTAGGTTCCATGTTTTGAGCATAAAATTCCTATCCCTGTACCCCAGGCAGAGAGGACTGGACCAGGCGTGGACCTCTGACCTACAAGATCCAAGGCATTACGTTTGCCTGGTTCATCACCTCCTTCAATTGTAGATGCTGCAGATGCTGCCCTCTCTGTAGAGGTTTAAGTAAACAGGAAAGAATGTTTAATGAAAATAAGGGGAACAAAGAAACCATGTGGAGTAAAAGCAGAGATGACACATCAGGAGGCTACAAATGAACAATAAGTGAAACATTAGTTCCTGGACCTCAAACCTTGATGCCAGCATTCAGGAGGCTTCCTAGGCAAGGAAGTAAATTGGTGTGAGGTGACTGAACTGCAAGATGAGGTGGAATTTCAACATTCAGGCTGCCCTCTCTGCAGAGGTTTAAGTAAACAGGAAAGAATGTTTAATGAAAATAAGGGGAACAAAGAAACTATGTGGAGTAAAAGCAGAGATGACACATCAGGAGGCCACAAATGAACAATAAGTGTAACATTAGTTCCTGGACCTCAAACCTTCATGCCAGCATTCAGGAGGCTTCCTAGGCAAGGCCTGTCAGCTGTCCTATTTCTTCCACTAGATTTCTTTCTTTTGTTTTGTTTAAGCTAGTTTCAATGACAGGCAACTATCTCTTGTAATGAAATGATCCTAAGATAAAGTGTTATTGTAAAGTTCAAATGTAATTAGATAAGGAAATGTGCGTACATGTGGTTAGCACATATCTAGAAAATGATGGTTATTAAAGAGTAACTGGTTACAATTATCTCAATCTTATCACTATTAAAATTTCCCCAAGGTCAGCCTGCTTTTTTCAGGACAAGGATTATAATATTTCACGAGATTCAAATTAGTCGTATATTTTTAATTTGAAAAGAAAACTACAAAAGATGTTATAATTCAGTGTAAGCACATTTTATAGCAAATTTATTGTTTGATTTCATTTTCATGTTATATTAAAATTTTTTGTATCAGTGCTTGTCCAACATGGTACAATGGAAACAATCACATTGGAATAATCAAATTTTTGAATTACTTATAATATGCTCTTTCATTTTACCAGATTTTTTGAAATAAAAAATGAATATTGAAGAATATTCATAGTATCTATAGCTATTTTCTGTTCAATTTCTGAAAGAATGAGGAATAGTAGCTTTTCAAAAGCTGGATTTTGGTTTTTGTTTAATTATAATATCATTCAAAGGACTAATAAAGACTAAAAGGAACAATGACTTTATTGTAAAGATACGTATAGACTGACTCTTCAAAGTCACCATGAGGAAGGCTGCACTGTGGCTATTTAAATGTAAATATATTTAAATTAAACAAAACTAAAAATATAGTTTTTTAGTTACATGAGCCACATTTCAGGTGCTCAATATGTTGCTACCATATTGGATAAGTATGGAAGATTTCCTTCACCCCAGGAAGTTCTGTAAAGCACTAGCTTTCTCCACATCTTTCTTTCTTTATTAGGCATTGTTTTCCATAAAATTTTCTACCTGCTATGACCACTCAAAGCCCTACTTCCGTCTCACCCATGGGCAAAATATCCACTACAGTGGCCATTTACCTTTTTGTTAAAGTCACAGAAAGAATGTAGTAACACTCTGTTATTTTTTTTAATCCAACAACCTCTTTTAATTGTGAAACTGCTGCCTCTGACTACAAGCATGAGCAATTGACCAGGTCTAATCTCATCAACCATGGCTCCTTATATTCCTTACTCTAGTTGTGAGTCCAAGGGTAGGCATGGAATCGTATTAGGATCATAGACCCTCTACGAGATTATACTATTCCAATATTGGGGCAAGATAGGTCTCTCTTGCTTTTACTTGGAACAAGTGATCGATGGAGATGGCAGAGGCCATCTTGGCACCATAGGGAAAAGGCCTGCTTGAGAATGAAGCTAAGCAAATGCAAACAGTGCTGAGAGATGTGGCATTGTTCCTAAATCTCAATGTGTGAAAAAACCAATTCCTTTAGCTTGAATGTGGTTACAGCTGTTTGCAACCAAAATATTTCTGAGGCTGAGGAGGGAGGATTGCTTGAGCCCAGGAGTTTGAGACCAGCCTGGGCAATGTAGCAAGACCCTGTTTCCATGAAAAAAAAAATTACCTGGGCCTGGTTGTGTGTGCCTGTAGTCCCAGCTACTTGGGAGGCTGGGGTAGGAGGATCTCTCAAGCCCAGGAAGTCAAGGCTGCAGTGAGCCATGATGACACTGCTGCACTCCAGCTTACGCAACAGAGTGAGACCATTTAAGAAAAAGTCTGGTTAATATATGGGTATTCGTGCATTTTATGACATTGTGTATTAAAAGATACATATTTACAATACTACATTATTTAACTCTCTAAGTAGATTTCTATATAGTATAATACTGCCATTATGTTTTGTCTTTGACATTGCATATTGTCAATTTTATTCAGTTTATTTAGTGCATACTTTATGTAAGGTACTCTCATATTCAAAAATTCTTCTAATAAAATAAATGGACAAATCAAGAATGTATCAAAGAATATGAGTTCTGTCTTGATCATTGGTATAGTTTGGATATTTGTGCCCTCCAAATCTCATGTTGAAATGTGATCCGCAATGTTGGAAGTGGGGCCTGGTGGGAGGTATTTGCATCATAGGGGTGGGTTCCTCATGAAAAGCTTGGTGTCGGCCGGGCGCGGTGGCTCACGCCTGTAATCCCAGCACTTTGGGAGGCCGAGGCGGGCGGATCACGAGGTCAGAGGATCGAGACCGTCCTGGCTAACACGGTGAAACCCTGTCTCTACTAAAAGATACAAAAAAATTAGCCGGGCGCGGTGGCGGGTGCCTGTAGTCCCAGCTACTCCGGAGACTGAGGCAGGAGAATGGCTCGGACCCGGGAGGCGGAGCTTGCAGTGAGCCGAGATTGCGCCACTGCACTCCAGCCTGGGCGACAGAGCGAGACTCTGTCTCAAAAAAAAAAAAAAAAGAAAAGCTTGGTGTCCTCCCTGTGGTAATGAGTGGGCTCTGGTTGTATTAGTTCACAGGAGGTCTGATTGGTAAAAAGAGTCTGGCACTTCGTTCCCTCTCTCGCCACCTGAGAGGCCAACTCCCCCTTCACCATCTGCCATGATTGTAAGCTTCCTGAGGCCTCACCAGAAGCAGATGCTGATGCCATGCTTTTTGTACAATCTGCAGAACTGTGAGCCAAAATAAATCTCTTTTCCCTCTAAACCACTCAGCCTTGGCCGGCCGCGATGGTTCACGCCTGTAATCCCAGCACTTCGGGAGGCCAAGACGGGTGGATCACCAGGTCAGGAGATCGAGACCATCCTGGCTAACACGGTGAAACCCCGTCTCTACTAAAAATACAAAAAAAAAATTAGCCTAGCGTGGTGGCGGGCGCCTGTACTCCCAGCTACTCGGGAGGCTGAGGCAGGAGAATGGCGTGAACCCGGGAGGCGGAGCTTGCAGTGAGCCGAGATCGCGCCACTGCACCCCAGCCTGGGCGACAGAGCGAGACTCCCTCCCAAAAAAAAAAAAAAAAAAAAAAATCACTCAGCCTCAGGTATTCCTTTATAGCAACGCAAAATTGACTAATACAATCACAATTACTTTTTAAATGCAAACTAGCTGTGAAAGTTGTCTGTCTCAAATATTTAAGACTATAATTTTATGATCATACAACTCATACTCCCAGCACTCAGTAAAGACAACGTATATTTCTGTCAGTCTTTCATACGCACAATTAGAAAATGATTAAAATAGTCTGATAATAGATTTCCCTGTTAAGCTCAGAAGCCCAGTATTCTTTCTTGGTTTTTAACTGGCATGCTCCTTTTAATTTTATATGTATTTCTTTTAATGATGAATATAGAGGCAATAAATAATACTTTTCTTTATATATGATTGGATTACAATTAACTGATGAATTTAGGAAAGGACTTAAAGATTTATTTTTATCATCTTGTAATTTAAAACAAAACAACAGGGCTATAAACTCCAAATATGCAAGTAAATGTAAAGCTCAACTTCAAAAAATAAATGACTTGACAATGATGAAAAAGTAGAAAATGTTTGAGAAACTTTATAGAAATATCCTTTTACTTCAAAAACAGGAGAAATATGTACCACAGGTAGGCCCCTACTTACAGACTCCTAATTATTCATATGTGAATTCTCAGAAGGCAAGGGCTGGGGGTAATACTGCTTTTAATGAAAGTCTGCTCTTATGAGTTTTCAGATGCCATAACCAAACTGACATTGTGTACCGTTGTTCTCTGGGGAGCTTCATGCACAGAATGAACTCATATGTTACATGACCTTGGGCCAAACAATATCTTAAAGAAGTAATCAGTATAACATTTCAGAAATTGAGGTGGCCAAAGTCGGTCCAGGAAAGTCTCTCAGGATTTGATATGCTGAGTGCAGGAGAATTCATTTTCCATTCAGAGAAAAGGTCGTACAAAGTCTTCATGTGCCTCAAGTGCTGAAAGCAATATAGAAGAAGAAAAATTGGGCTTAAACAAAATTTTAAAAAATCTGTCTTCATTTTCTCCCCCGTGATCCTTTATATCTAGGAAGGCTATTACTGTGGAGAGGCCTTAATATGGACTATTTAGACCAGTCATTTGAACAAATGTCCTAACAACAGCAGAAAAACATGATCAGTGTTCTGCAGAATCTGGACTTGTAATCAAGTAGTCAGTGTTTAAGAGACAAGTTTAGGTCATGGAAATATACTGGAGCCAAAAATCAGAATTCTAGTTTTTGCTCCAGCACTGATTTGTTCAGCTATGAGTGATGTTTTCAGATAGATTTCTTTAGGGTAGGAAGCAATAATGTTATATGAGTTGGAAAGGCTTGATGAATGTTACTGAGTAAATAGATGTTTGCTGATTGCTGTTGAACAGTGGATCAAATTATTAAAGAAAAGTTAGGATAGAAAAATCCAAATACAGGCGGGGTGCGGTGGCTCACGCCTATAATCCCAGCACTTTGGGAGGCCGAGGCGGGCGGATCACGAGGTCAGGAGATCGAGACCATCCTGGCTAACACGGTGAAACCCCGTCTCTACTAAAAATATAAAAAATTAGCCGGGTGTGGTGGCAGGCGCCTGTAGTCCCAGCTACTCGGGAGCCTGAGGCAGGAGAATGGCGTGAACCCGGGAGGCGGAGCGTGCAGTGAGCCAAGATCGCACCACTGCACTCCAGCCTGGGAGACAGAGCAAGACTCGGTTTCCAAAAAAAAAAGAAAGAAAAGAAAAATCTAAATACAAAATTATAACAGTATGTAGCCATTTAGAGTTCATTAGTTACAAAGCTGTTAAGATTATAGATATTGCATATTATAATATATACGTGTGGAATTTCTGGAACTGATATTGTTTTTGTTTAAGCAGTTGCCAGTTTGGCAACATTTTACATTTTCTGTAGTGAGTGAAAACAAATTATTTGATCTGTAATTACTATTTTATGAAACATATTATTTGACTGTTAAATCATCAATTCTTTTGGAGCTGGCCAACAATGTACCAATTTATTTTTAGTAGTGCAGCCCATGATAAAGAAAAGCAGAAAGCCACTAAGGACAAAAAGATTACTGAGAGCTCCTCCTCATTGTACTTAAATTTTGTTTAGGATGAGATAAACGGAAAAAGAGCTTCAGACTTTGAAGATCTAGAAATGTGGGCAAATTTTCCAAATGTTCGTGTGGATGAGTAAACTGTCACATTTCCAGAACGAAGAACATTGTTTTTTATTCTGCCTGGACTAGTATTAGGGAAAATGTTCAATTGAAAAAGTTACCATATAAGAATTATATCCAGAGTATCATATTTAATTGATTTTTTGCTTACACACACAAAAAAAATTCAATTATCAATGTTTTTGAGCAAAAATAAGGCAACAGGTCAGGCTTTAAAAATAAATATAAGACTATAAAAGATGCATGTCTTATATTCTACCATGGTAAATGGGGCAGTGAAAGGAGTATGCGGAGTCCTCCTTCTGGTATACAGAATTTATATTATTGCTTTATTATTGCCTCACACACATCAACCCTTGAGGCAGGAAAGATGTGTTCATAGAAAGCAACTTACCAGTGACCGTGCCAGACATGTTCAAATGTGCTTCACTATGACATGGTAAGAATACACTAATATTAATGTAACATCAACAAGAATTCAGTAAAGATAGAAATCTGATAATAGTAACAACCATCATTAATTAATGAGTCCTTGTTATATACCAGGCACTGTGTTAGTGCTCTCTGTCTTTCTGTCTGTCTCTCTCTCTCAGAAACTATGCATATTCATATATATTTATATAAAATGATCATACAATTCTAGCAACCACATAAAAGTTTGGAAGCGTTTCCCCTTTTTTCTCTTTTTGAAGAAATGGGGAAACACAGGCACAGACAAATATGGAAACTTTGCAGCATTCATGCAGAGGATGCAGAATGGAGCCCGAATTAAAATGCTCCCTCGGATAGAAGAGGCTTCATTCTTCTTTCTAGAAAGACTGTGTGGTGAAGGTCCTGGATTGTGACAAATATGCTATTTCCTCTAAACCCAGACTCCCTCCTCTTCAGGTGGTTTGAACCGTCTTTCCTACCCCTAAACCTGTAGATTATGCCTCCATCTCTCCCATCCTTACACTCCACTCAAAAGGTAATCTGCTCTCTTCGTTCTTTCTCTTAGTCCATTCTGCCTCCAAATGTCTCCACCATACTCTCTCTGGAACACCATTCCATTCTCATCAACTCCCTCCACATCCTCTACCTTACACACCTTGACTTAAGTGAGCCTTCTATAAAGACACTGCCCACCTCCCACCTCCAGCAATTCAAAGGGATGCTTCTCAGAGTTGGAGGCTTCTTGGGGTTGGGAGGAGAGGCCAGTGTTCTCCATCCTCAGTGCAGTTCCAGACCATTCCTCCTCTGAAACAAACCCTTTCCCTTGAGGCTGACAACATCCAGCCATGTGACCCTCTGCTTCTTTCTCACACTCTTTTGCTTTTACTGAAGACTTTGAAGCTTTTTCTCTAAGTTTCACCATCATTTTTGTATCTGGCACATAGTAGTTGCTAAATTATATTATTAAAAAATTCACAGTGATTATTCGTAATAAATTATGTGTGATACACTCACAATTCATGGTGAAATGACCATGTATCTCGAGAAGAGATTTGAAAAGGACAATGAGGACACCCCTTCCCATACTCCAAACTCTAAGTTGCATGATCTTGTCAGTCTCAGGATTGTCAGCCATCCACTTCCACAGCCAAATCCTAGACATGCTGGAGCTTCGAAATATTCTATTATAATATCACATACATACACACTTATTCCAAACTGCATTCCTCCAGCCATCACTCGTCACCTCCACTCTGCCTTTCTTCATTGTATTGTAAAGAATGAATTGGGTTAGTGTGACAGTCTTTATCAGTATTCCCATTACTCTACTACTTTGTCTTCCTACCGTACCTCCTGTGGAAAAAAATTCCACATCATCATCCACCAGACCGTCTTCTGTTCTCCTCCTACACAAACAACTCTCCTACAGATGGAGAAACTCATATAACTGCATTAAAAGTTCATTTGAAAGGCATAGTTGCCAAACTCAATTGGAATACCACCTGGTATTTCTATATTTTCCTGGGCAACTTTCTCTTTCACTTCCCACAGAGCATATTTCAAACTTCTATTGTGCTTTAGTTTTCTTTATTACATCACCATATGAAAGTGTAATTCATTTATTCTGCACTTACTTACTAGACATCTGTTATGTGCCAGGCAAAGGGTGCTGGGTATTATGGTAGAAAAAAGTATAACATTTGAGTTTGTTCCCTCTCACTTCTGCCTTCGTTCCTAAAAGCATTCACCTATCTCTGTGCCAACCTTGCCTAGGGGAAGATATATCTCCCTCCATGCCCAACCATTCTACCTGTACTCTGTTAGCTCAGCCATTACCTCAGTTAGCTTATCCCTCTCTCCTCTACCTGAAAATTCTCCATCCTACCGGCTCACTTCCCCAGCAACACTTACACTTATTTATTTCTGTCCTATCTTTAACCAATCAATATGACCACTCTCAACCATCATGTTTGCTTCTAAGTATTTCCCTATATCTTCTACATTCTTCAGACCCGCGGTACAGTTGTCCATGCTCCCCTCCTCATTCATTTCATTCTCTCTCCAGCCTCCTGCAGTTTGGCATCTTCTCCACTATTCTACTGCAGCGGTCCCTTCCAGGGTCAACAAAGCCTCTTTATTAGAAAATGCACAGGGCACTTACTTTCTTCAGTCTTTGAACTCTGCAGGCATTGTGTGTGTGTGTGTGGGGGGGGGGGGGGTGGAGACAGAATTTCGCTCTTGCTGCCCAAGGCTGGAGTGCCATGGCACAATCTCTGCTCACTGCAACCTCCACCTCCTGGGTTCAAGTGATTCTCCTGCCTCACCCTCCCAAGTAGCTGGGATTACACGTGCCTGCCACAATGCCTGGCTAATTTTTGCATTATTAGCAGAGACAGGGTTTCACCATGTTGGCCAGGCTGGTCTCGAACCCCTGACTTCAGATGATCTACCCGCCTCAGCCTCCCAACGTGCTGGGATTACAGGCGTGAGCCACTGTGCCTGGCCAGGCATTTCTTTTTATAAACCGTGTACCCTGCCTCTGGGCCACCAGAGGTTCCTGGTCTTCTCCCACTCACCTCTATGTTCAGTTACTCTGCCTGTCATGACATGCGGTGATCCTCTATGTTCATTCTTCTCTCCTTACAGTTTGTGTGTTCCACGAATGACATCATTTACTCCCTCAAATCCAAGTGCATATTTTATTTGTGTGAATCCCCAATAAGTAAGTTCCTATGGACAGAGGCTGTGCATGTTTGTTGTTTTAGTCCTGATACCTATCACAGCTGCCTGACAACCCAGTGCCCAGCAATACAGAAAAATGCACAGACTGAATAATACAGGAAATTGTAGTCTGGGCGCGGTGGCTCAGGCCTGTAATCCCAGCCCTTTGGGAGGCCGAGGTGGGTGGATCACGAGGTCAGGAGATCGAGACCACGATGAAACCACGTCTCTACTAAAAATACAAAAAAAATTAGCCGGGCGCGGTGGCGGGCGCCTATAGTCTCAGCTACTCGGGAGGCTGAGGCAGGAGAATGGCATGAACCCAGGAGGCGGAGCTTGCAGTGAGCCGAGATCGCGCCACTGCACTCCAGCCTGGGCGACAGAGCGAGACTGTGTCTCAAAAAAAAAAAAAAAATACAGGAAGTTGTAACCAGGAGGACCCATTGAAAGTGGAGTGTATTCTTTCACTCAGTATTCACTGGGAATGCACTATACACTAGTTCCAATGCTTGTGTTGGGAATTCAGTGAAGAGCAAGAAAGACAAAGTAGCCCCTGGCACTTACATTCTAGTAAGGGAAATAGTCATTAAACATATATACTATATAGGGTGTCAGAGAGTGACAAGTGCCACGAAGAAAATAAAGCAGGGAAGGGAGTTACAGAGTGATAGAAGGTAAAAGTGCGCCAGCTAGTTAGGGTAGTCTGGGAAGGAAGGCTTTTTGGTGGCATTAACCCTGAAGAAATGAATGTAATGAGAAAATGCCTAGCGGCTATTTGAAAGAAAACCATTTCAAGAGGAGGAAATGGTAAGTACAGTGAAGTGGGAAAGGCTTTGGGGTACTTGAGGAGCAGAAATCAGGCCAAAGGGATTGGAGCTGAAGTTCTGATTCTAGGTAGAATATAGGAGGCAGTGGCACTGCATCACTCCCACTGGAACAAGTAGTTCAAAAAGTAAAGAAATTGGAAATGTAATCGTTTTAAAGATATCAGAGAGCTGTGGTGGCATAGATGATTAGATGGACTACAAGTGAAGTTGAGATGACTCCTATTTCCTTCACTGAGAGGCAAGGTTTCTGTTCAGACTTGCCCTAAGCTGAGGTGTTTCGCCAGGGGAAAGAGAAGACAATAGAGTTTACTTTCTACCTAGCTTCATTGAGGTACGACTCATGCACCGTACAATTCACCCATATAAAATTTACAATTCAATATTTTTTAGTGTTTTAGAGATATGTGCAACCATCCCCACAGTCAACTTTTGAACACTTTTATCACCTCAGAAATAAAAGCCATGGCCGGGCGCAGTGGCTCACGCCTGTAATCCCAGCACTTTGGGAGGCCGAGGCGGGCAGATCACGAGGTCAGGAGTTTGAGATCAGCCTGGCCAATATGGTGAAACCCCATCTCTACTAAAAATACAAAAATTATCCAGGCACTGTGGCACGCGCCTGTAGTCCCAACTACTTGGGAGGCTGAGGTAGGAGAATTGCTTGAACCCTGCATTCCAGCCTGGGTGACAGGGCAAGACTCCATCTTAAGAAAAAAAAAGAAAGAAAAAAAAGCCACATGCTTCAGCTATTACTCCTTGTCTTCCTAAGCAGCACCTAGGCTTCTTTCTCCCAGTAGATTGTCCTATTGTGGACATTTCTTATGAATGGAGTCAATAATATGTGGTCTTTTGTTACTGACTTCTTTCAGTTAACATAATGTTTTCAGGGTTCTCCATGTTGTGGCATGTATCAGCTCCTCATTCCTTTTTTGTGAGTAAAGAAAAAATAACAAAATTTAACATTTTAACCATTTTCAAGTGTACATTACAGTACTGTTAACTGTATGCAAGTTGTTGTGCAATAGGCCTCTGTAACTTTTTCATCTTGCCAAAGGGAAACTCTGTACCCGTGGAAAAACTCCCAATTTCCCCCTCTTCCCTAGCTCTGGTTGTCACATTCTACTTTCTGTTTCTATGAATTTGATTACTTTCGAAAATGTATACACAGGGAATCATGCAGCATTATTCCTTTCATGACTGGCATATTTCATGTAGCATAATGTGCTCAAGCTTTATCCGTGTTGTAGCATATGGTAAGATTTTCTTCTTTCTTTAGGCTGAATAATATTCCAGTGAATATATGGTTTATACATTAATTTGTCAGGAGATATTAGTGTTCTTCCAACTCTTGGCTATTGTGAGTAATACTGCAATAAAGATGGATGTGCAAATATCTTTTCAAAATCCTACTTTAAATTTTTTTGATATATACCCAGAAGTGGGATTGCTGGACTATATGGTAGTCCTGTTTTAAATTTTTTGAAGAACCTCTGTTTTCCATAGTGGCTACACCATTTTACGTTGACACCAACAGTGCACAAGGGTTTCAAGTTCTCTATATCCTTGCCAGTATTTCTTATTTTCTGTTTCTGTTTTGTTTTTTTGGATAGTGGTCTAGCTAAGAGATGTGAGGTGACATCTCATTGTGGTTTTGATTTGCATTTCTCTGATTAGTGATATTGAACATATTTTTCAATGTTGGCCATATTGATGTCATCCTTAAAGAAATGTCTATTCAAATACTTTGTTAATAGGGTTTTTTGTTTGTTTGTTTGTCTAGTTTTGATGTTGAGTTGTAGGAATTCTCTATATGTTTGGATATTAACCCTCATCAGATGCATGGTTTGCAAATATTTTCTTCCATTCTGTAGGTTGCCTTTTCACTCTCTTCATTATTTCCTTTCTATGCAGAAGATCTGAAGTTTGATTTAGTTGCATTTGTATATTTTTGCTTTTATTTCCTCTGCCTTTGGTGTCATGTCCAAGAAATCATTGCCAAATCCAAAAACATGAAGCTTCTCCCCTATATTTTTATCTTACTAGATAATGTTATAATTTTATAAATTTTAGTTTTATAAATATAATTTTATAAATTACAGTTTTATAATTTTAGGTCTTACATTTAGGTCATTAATCCATTTTGGTTTGTTTGTTGTTTTGAGACAGGGTCTCTCTCTGACAACCAGGCTGGAGTGCAGTGGCATCATCACAGCTGACTGCAGCCTCAACCTTCTGGGCTCAAGCAATCCTCCTGCCTTACCCCCACCTCTCCCAGTAGGTGGCACTACAGGGTGCGCGCCACCACACCCGGGGGAATTTTTACATTTTTTGTAGAGACGGGTTCGCAGTGTTGCCCAGGACTTGAGCGATCCTCCCACCTCAGCCTCCCAAAGTGGTGGGATTACAGGCGTGAGCCACTGCACCTAGCCGTTAATTCATTCTGAAGTGATTTTTGTATATAGGTACAGGAAGGTAAGGGTCTAACTTCATTATTTTACATGTGAATATCAAGTTTTCTCAGCACCATTTGTTGAAGACACTATCTTTTCCCCATTGTATAGTCTTGATGCCCTTATGGCAGATTATTTTACCACATATGTGAGAGTTTATTTCTGGGCTCTCTATTCTGGCCCATTGGTCTCTATGTGTGTCTTTATTCCAGTATTATGCTATTTTGATTACTGTAGCTTTACACTGTTTTTTGAACTTGAGAAGTGTGAGACCTCCAGCTTTGTTTTTCTTTCTCATAACTGTCTTGACTATTTGGAATACTTTGAGACTCCTAATGGATTTTGGATTTTTTTTCTGTTTCTGCAAAAAATTCCAATGAGATTTTTATACGGACTGCATTGAATCTGTAGATTTGGGGGGTAGTATGAACACTGTAACCATATTCTTTTCCAATCCAGGAACATGGGATGTCTTTATATTTATTCGTGTCTTCATTAATTACTTTCAGCAATATTAAGAGTATTCAGTATACAGGTCTTTTGCCTCTTTGGTTGAGTTTATTCCTAAGTATTTTATTCTTTTTGATGCTCTTGTAAAGGGGATTTAAAAACATTTTCTTTTCTGATTATTTATTCTTAGTGTCTAGAAATGCAACTGATTTTTGTGGGTTGATTTTGTTTCCTGCAACTTTACTGAATTAGTTTATTAGTTGTAACAGTTGTCTCTGTGTGTGTGTGTGTGTGTGTGTGTGTGTGTGTGTGTGTGTGTGTAATCCTTCAGGTTTTCTACATGTAAGATTATATCATCTGCAAACAGAGATAATTTTATTTCTTCCGTTCAAAATTGAATGCTTTTTACTCCTTTTTCTTGCCTAATTGCTCTGGCTAGAACTTTCAGTACTGTGTTGAATAGACATGGCAAGACTGGGCATGCTTGCCTTGTTTCTATTTGTAGGGGGAAAGCTTGAGTATGATGGTAGCTATGGGCATTACCTATAGGGCTTTTTATATGTTGATGTAATTTTCTTTTATTTCTATATTATTGAATTTTACATGAAAGGGTGCTGAATTTTATTAAAAGCTTATTATTGCACTAATTGAGATGATCATGTGACTTTTTTACCTTTCTGTCAGTTAATATAGTGTATTGCATTGACTAATTTTTGTATGTTGAACCATCCTTGCATCCCAGGAATAAATACCACTTGGTCATAGTGTACTGCTGAATTAAGTTTATGATATTTTGTTGAGAATTTTTGCATCAACATTTAGCAAGATTATTGGTGTGTAGTCTTTTTGTGGTGTCCTTCTTTAGCATTGGTATTAAGGTAATACTGGCCTCATAAAATGAAAGTATTTTTTCTTCTGAAATTTTTCAGAAGAGTTTGAGAAAGAGTGATGCTAACTACTCTTTAAATGTTTGGTAAAACTCATCAGTGAAACCGTCTAGTCCTGGGGCTTTTCTTCATTGGGAGATTTTTGATTACTAATTCAATCTCCTAAGTTATAGATGTGTTCAGATTTTAATTTATTCACAATTCAATCTTGGTAGGTAGTATATTTCTAAGAATTTATTTCTTCTAAGTTATCCAATGTACTGGAGTATTGTTCATAGCAGTCTCTCGTAATCTTTTTACTTCTGCGTCCTCATTTTTAATGTCTCATTTCTGATTTGTGTTACTCTACTTTAGACTTCTATTTTCTTACTTATTGAAAGAATTTGTTAAATTTTTTATTTTTTAAAAAAACTCTTATTTCATTGATTTTTCTATTTTTTTTAATTTATTCTCTATTTCATTTATGTTTTCTGTAATCTACGACCTTCCTTTTGCTAACTGTAATCTAGGACCTTCCTTTTACTAACTTTGGATTTAGTTTGCTATTCTTTTTCTAGTTCTTTGAGATACAAAATTATCTCCAATTATTGATTGGGGATCTTCTTTTAAAAATACAAACATTTACTGCCACAGTTTTGGTGTGTTGTGTTTTCATTTTCACCTGCTTTAAAATACTGTTAAATAGTGATTTCTTGACTCATCAAGTTGTTCAAGAGTATATTGCTTAATTTCCACATCTTTGTGAATTTTCTAGTTCAGAGTTTTCTAGTCCAGATTTCTAGTTTCATGATTATTAGAAAATATAGTTGGTTTTCTTTCAGTTTTTTTTTGAATTGTTAAAACTTGTTTTGTGTCCTAATATGTGTTCTGTCTTGGAGACTGTTTTATGTGCACCTGAGAAGAATGTGTATATTAACATAGGGTGGAATATTGTTTATATATCTATTAGAGTCAATTCACTTTTAGTATTGTTCAAGTCCTTTATTTCCTTATTATTTTTCTTTCTGGTTGATCTATTTATTATTGAAAAAGAGTATTGTAATCTCCTCCTATTATTTTTTTAATCTAATTCTTCCTCCAGTTCTATCAATGTTTGCTTCATGTATTTGGGTGCTCTGCTGTTTGGTGCATATAGACTTATAAGTGTTGTACTGTGAATTGACACTTTCATCAATATGATGTGTCTTGTTTTTCTCTTGTGACAGTTTTTAGCTTAATGTCTATTTTGTCTGATATATGTATGGGCACCCTTGCTATTTTGGTTACCTCTTGCATGGAATATATTTTTCTATTCCTTCCTTTTCAGCCTGTGTATGTTTTCAAAGCTAAGTGAACCTCTTGTAGATAGCATGCAATTGGATCTTTTTAAAATTGATTCCGCCACTCGGTCTTTTGACTGCGGAGTTTAATCCATTCACACTTAAAGTAATTATTGATGGGGAAGGACTTACTATTGCAATTTTGTTAATTGTTTTCAGTATGTCTTAGAGTTGTTTGTCCCTCTTTTCCTCTCTTGCTGCCTTTGTGTTTCATTGATTTTTTTTGTAGTGTTATGCTTTGAGGACTTCCTTATTTTCTTTGGTATGTCTTCTATAGCAATTTTCTCTGTAAGTTACCATGGGGATTATATAAAACATCTTATAGCTATAACAATTTATTTAAACTAAAAATTTAATTCAATTGCATACAAAACCTCTACTCTTTTACCTCCAATTCACCTTACATTATCAATGTCACAAATTATACTTTTAGTATTTTGTATCCATTAATATAATTTAATAATTATGGTTATTTTTATGCTTTTATTTATACCTGATTTAAAAATGATTTATGGACCACTATTGTAGTATGACAAGATTCTGCATTTTTTTTTTTTTTTAGACAGAGTCTCACTCTGTCACCCAGGCTGGAGTGCAGTGGTGCAATTTCAGCTCGCTGCCAGTTTTGCCTCCTGGGTTCATGCCATTCTCCTGCCTCAGCCTCCTGAGTAGCTGGGACTACAGGCACCCGCCACCATGCCCTGCTACTTTTATTTTATTTTATTTTTTATATTTTTAGTAGAGACAGGGTTTCACCGTGTTGGCCAGGATGGTCCCGATCTCCTGACCTCGTGATCCACCCACCTCAGCCTCCCAAAGTTCTGAGATTACATGCTTGAGCCACTGCGCATGGCCTAGATTCTGCATTTGACTATATGTTTACCTTTACCAGAGAGCCTTATACTTTTGTATGCTTTCAAGTTGGTATCTAGCTTTCTTTTATTTCAACTGAAAGGACTACCGTTAGTAATTCTAGCAAGGTAGGTTAATGGTGATGAACTTCTTCAGCTTTTGCTTATCTGGGAAGATCTTTATTTCTCCTTCAGTTTTGAAGGGCAGATTTGCTGTCTATTCTTAGTTGGCAGTTTTCTTTCTCTTTCAGCCCTTTGAATATACTACCCCATTCCCTTTCAGTCTGGAATGTTCCTGCTGATGAGTTTGCTGATAATCTTATGAGAGTTCTCTTGTATATAAGTCACCTTTCTCTTGCTGCTTTCAAGATTGTCTGTCTTGGACTTTTGACTGATTATAATGTGTCATTGTGTTGGATCTTTAGGTTCATCTTAGACAGAGTCCTTCAAGCTGCTGAAATTTGGTTGTCCATTTCGTTTTTCAGATTTGGGAAGTTTTCAGCCATTTCTTCAAATAAGCTCTCTGCCACAGGCTACTCTTCGTTGTGCAATCTGTGGACCCAGTTGTCATCTGCCACCACTGTCTAGTTATCTTTTGACTGCCACAAGTGGACTCCAAAAAATCTCCAAAAGAAATTGTTACCATAACAAGATGGCCAACTAGACACAGCCAGGAAGCACTGCTCCCACTGAGAGACACCAAAATATTGAGTACACCAATGTATTTTGAGCCCATCTTCAGAGAGAAAATGCTGAGAGTCATTACAGAGGTGATGCAGACAACAAGGCTGAAGAGGGAGGAAGCTGGAAACCCTGCACAGGATACTTGCATGACAGGGCTAGTTCCCAGACCTGAATGCCTCCTGGGGAAGGGATAAGTGAAGGGATGGAGGGACAGGCCACTCTCACTGTGGACCTCTGGGATCCTAGGTACATAGAACTTCACATTCTCCATGGACATTTGAGCTGGCAGGGGGATCTTCAAAGAGAGTTGGCAGAGACAGGGCTTCACCGGCATGGAGCCTAGGAGCTTTTGTGCATGTGGAGCTGTGGCCGAGCATGGCCTAGACACCCATCCCCCAGGGCTCCCCACCTCCCTACAGGCAGCTCTAGCCTCAGCTGATTGCTGGCCCAAGAGAGAGTGTGGCTGGCTTCCCTGTGGGACTGGGAAACTTCCAGGGCCCCTGCCTGGCCACCCTGCAGGAGTTGTGCACAGAGTAGCCTCTGCTGCCAAGCCTGGGTGCTTTGCTTCACCTGAGTACCTTCCTGGTGGCCTGGGAGCACTTTGGATCCCCCAGAACAGCTGGGGCCCAATCTCAAGGGTCTGGAGGATGAAGCTGAAAGCCAGTCCTAGCTCCCCAAAACTACACAAATACATGGAAATTGAACAGCTTGCTCCAGAATAACTCCTCGGTGAACAATAAAATTAAGGAAGAAATAAAAAAATTCTTTGAAATAAATGAAAATAGGGACACAGCTTACCAAAATCTCTGGAACACAGCTAGAACAGTATTAAGAGGAAAGTTTATAGCACTAAGAACCTTCAGCAAGAAATTAGAAAGGTCTCAAATTAACAATGTACCTTTGCAACTAGAGGAACTAGAAAAAAACAAGCCAACCCCAAAGCAAGCAGAAGATAATAAATATCTAAAATTAGAGAAGAACTGAATGAAATTTAGACACAAAAATCCATAGAAAAGATCAATGAAACAAAGTGTTTTTTCTTCAAAAGAATAAACAAGATCAATAAACCACTAGCTATATTAACAAAGAAAAAAAGAGAAGATCTAAATAAGTACAATCAGAAATGACAAAGAAGACATTGCAACTGATCCCACAAAAATACAAAAGATCCTCAGAGACTATTATGAACAGCTCTATGTACACAAATTAAGAAAACCTAGAGAAAATGGATAAATTCCTGGAAACACACAAATTCCCAATATTGAACCAGAAAGAAAATGAAAACTTGAACAGACCAATAAGTTCCAAAATTATATCAGTATTAAAGAAACTGCCAACCCCAAAAGAAAAAAAAGAAAAAGAAAAAGAAAAGCCCTGGACCAGATGGATTCACAGACAAATTCTCTCAGACATAAAAAGAAGAACTGGTACCAATCATATTGAAACTATTCAAAAAAATCGAAAAGGAAGGGTACCTCTCTAACTTATCCTATGAAGCCAGAATCAGTCTGATACCAAAATCTGGCAGAGACACAACAAAAAAAGAAAACTTCAGGCCAATATACCTAACGAACATAGGTGCGAAAATTCTCAACAAAATACTAGCAAACTGAATCCAGCAGCACATCAAAAAGTTAATTTACTACAATAAGGCAGGCTTTACTCCTGGGATTCAAGGCTGGTTGAACATATGCAAATCAATAAATGTGATCCACCACAGTAACAGAATTAAAAGCAAAACCCATATGATCATCTCAGTAGATGCAAAAAAAGCTTTCAATAAAATCCAACATCCCTTCATGATAAAAGCCCTCAACAAACTAGGCATCTAAGGTACATACCTCAAAATAATAAGAGCCATCTACACCAAACCCACAGCCAACAGCATACTGACTGGGCAAAAGCCAGAAGCATTCCCCCTAAGAACAAAAACAAGACAATGATGCCTACTCTCACTGCTGCTATTCAATGTAGTACTAACAGTCCTAGCCAGAGCAATTAGGCAAGAGGAAGAAATAAAAGACATCCGCGGCTGGGTGTGGTGGCTCACACCTGTAATCCCAGCACTTTGGGAGGCCGAGGTGGGCAGATCACGAGGTCAGGAGATCGAGACCATCCTGGCTAACACAGTGAAACCCTGTCTCTACTAAAAATACAAAAACAAAAACAACAAACAAACAAACAAACAAAGACATCCGCATGGGAAAAAGAAGAGGTCAAATTATCTCTCTTCACTGACAGTGTGATTCTCTCTTTTTTTGAAACTGAGTCTCCCTCTGTTGCCCAGGCTGGAGTGCAGTAGCACCATCTCAGCTCACTGCAGCCTCTGCCTCCTGGGTTCAAGTGATTCACCTGCCTCAGCCTCCAGAGTAGCTAGGATTACAGGTATTCACCACCACGCCCGGCTAATTTTTGTATTTTTTAGTAGAGATGGGGTTTCACCCTGTTGGCCAGGCTGGTCTTGAACTCCTGACCTCAAGTGATCTGCCTGCCTCAGCCTCCCAAAGTGCTGAGATTACAGGTGTAAGCCACCATGCTTGGCCACTGATAATATGATTCTATATCTAGAAAACCCTAAAGACTCTGCCAAAAGGCCCGTCAAACTGCTAAATGACTTCAGTAATGTTTCAGGGTACAAAAATAATGTACAAAAATCAATAGCATTTCTATATATATCTGAGTACCTCAGCCTCGAAATACATTTTTAAACTATTTTTTTCCTTTCCTTCCTAATCTCAGAATGTAGCCTTATAGTGTAAGACTCTTTGTTATGCCCTTTCCCTACAGGCATATCTGTGTACAGTGCTTGCTCATCTAACTATGTGCTTGCTTAGAAATTCCAGGAGCCAATTTTGAAACAAACCAGGCAGAGAGACCAAGCCGCAGATCTTCCCACTCAAGGGGAGTTACGCCCAAGTCCGGATGATGCAAATCAGATCTCTAGATGGGAGATTACTTGAGATAACTATGGGAACAAGACATGCAGATATGCACTCCCTTTTCACTACTCATGTCTATATCCCACACCTTTTTCCTTCTTAAACCCCTTCACTCGGCCCAGAAGGCTGAGATGGCTCTTTTGAGGCTTATGCCCAGACATTCTCCCATCTGCTAGCATTTGACCAATAAAAGTTGCTTTCCTTTCACCACACCTCAGTTCTCATGCTTTGACTTCTGAGAGGAGAGCAGCTGGACTTGAGCTGGTTACATATACACCAATAATGTTCAAGCTGAGAGCCAAATCAAGAACACAATCCCATTTACAATAGCCACACACAAAAATGAAATACCTAGGAATACAGCTAACCAAGAAGGTTAAAGATCTCTACAAACCTGACAATGTTGGTGTTGTCGTGTTTGGAAATGATTAACTAATTAAGGAAGGAGCTAGAATGAAGAGGACAAGAGCCATTGTGGACATTCCAGTTGGTGAGGAGCTGTTGGGTCATGTGGTTGATGCCCTTCGTAATGCCATTGATGGAAAGGGTCCATTTGGTTCCAAGAACCATAGGTGAGTTGGTCTGAAAGCCCCTGGAATCATTCCTCAAATTTCAGTGCAGGAACCAATGCAGACTGGCATTAAGGCTGTAAATAGCTTGGTGCCAATTGGCCATGGTCAGTGTGAGCTGATTATTGGTAATGGACAGACTGGGAAAATCTCAATTGCTATTGACACAATCATTAACCAGAAATGTTTCAATGATGGATCTGATGAAAAGAAGAAGCTGTACTGTGTCTATGTTGTTATTGGTCAAAAGAGATCCACTGTTGCCCAGTTGGTGAAGAGACTTACGATGCAGATGCCATGAATTACACCATCGTGGTGTCAGCTACGGCCTCAGATGCTGCCCCACTTCAGTAACTGGCTCCTTACACTGGCTGTTCCATGGGAGAGTATTTTAGAGACAATGGCAAACATGCTTTGACCATCTATGACAACTTATCCAAACAGGCTGTTGCTTACCATCAGATGTTTCTGTTGCTCTGCCAACCCCCTGGTTGTGAGGCCTATCCTGGTGTTGTGTTCTACCTATGCTCCCAGTTGCTAGAGAGAGCAGCCCAGATGAACAATGCTTTTGGTGGTGGCTCCTTGACTGCTTTGCCAGTCATAGAAACAGACTGGTGATGTGTCTGCTTACATTCCAATGAATGTCATTTCTATCACGAACGGACAGATCTTCTTGGAAACAGAATTGTTCTACAAAGGTATCCACCCTACCATTAATGTCGGTCTGTCTGTGTCTCGTGTCAGATCTGCTGCCCAAACCAGGGCTATGAAGCAGGTGGCAGGTACCATGAAGCTGGAAGTGGCTCAGTATCATGAGGTCACCACTTTTGCCCAGTTCAGTTCTGACCTCGATGCTGCCACTCAACAACTTTTGAGTTGTGGTGTGTGTCTAACTGAGTTGCTGAAGCAAAGACAGTATACTCCCATGGCTATTGAAGAACAAGTGGCTGTTATCCATGTGGGTATTAGGGGCTATCTTGATAAACGGGAGCCCAGCAAGATTACAAAGTTTGAGAATGCTTTCTTGTCTCATGTCAGCTGGCACCAAGCCCTGTTGGGCACTACCAGGGCTGATGGAAAGATCTCAGAAGAATCAGATGCTGAATTTGAAGCTTAAACGCCTGTGGATTTACATCAAATACCAGTTCAGTTTTGTCATTGTTTATTCTAGTAGATTAGTTTCATTTGTGAAAGGGTTACTCTCATACTCCTTATGTACAGAAATCACATGAAAAGTAAAGGTTCCATAATGTGAAAAAGAAAAAAGATCTCTACAAGGAGAACTGCCAACCACTGCTGGAAGAAATCACAGATGACACAAATAAATAAAAAAAAATTCCATGCTGATGGATTGGAAGAATCAATATTGTTAAAATGACCATGCTGCCCAAAGCAGTTTAAAGATTTAATGCTATAACTACCAATGTCATTTTTCACAGAACTAGAAAAAACTATTCTAAAATTCATATAGAACCAAAAAACAGCCCGAATAGCTAAAGCAATCCTAAGCAAAAAGAACAAAGCTGGAGGCATCACACTACCCAACTTCAAACTATACTATAAGGCTACAGTAAGCAAAACAGCTTGGTCCTGGTACAAAAAAAGACAGATGAATGGAACAGAATAGATAATCCAGAAGCAGTTCTGCACACCTATAGCCATCTGCTCTTTGACAAAGCCCACAAAAAAATGGGAAAAGGGTCCCCTATTCAATAAATAGTGCTGAAATAACTAGCTAGCCATATGCAGAACAATGAAACTGGACCCCTACCTTTTATCGTATACAAAAATTAACTCAAAATGAATTCAAGATTTAAATGTATGACCTCAAACTATAAGAATCCTGGAAGAAAATCTAGGAAAAACAGTATTCTGGACATCAGCCTTGGCAAAGAATTTTTGGCTAAGTCCCCAAAAGCAATTGCAACAAAACCAAAAACTGACATGTGGGACCCAATTAGACTAAAAAGCTCCTGCTCATCGAAAGAAACTGTCAGTAAACAGACAACCTACATAATAGGAGAAAATATTTGCAAAGTATGCATCTAACAAAGGTCTAATATCCAGAACCTATGAGGAGCTCAAACAAATCAAGAAAAAACAAACAAATAACCCCATTAAAAAATGGGCAAAGGACATGGACAGATACTTCTCAAAAGAAGGCATACAAGTGGCCAACAAACATATGAAAAAATGTCCAACATCACTATCATCAGAGCAATGCAAATCAAAACTACAATAAGATACCACCTCACCCCAGTCAGAATGGCTATTATGAAAAGGTCAAAAAACAACAGATGCTGGTGAGGCTGTGTGTGCATAAAAGGGAATGCTTATAAACTGTTGAGGGGAATGTAAACTGGTTCAGCCACTGTGGAAAGCAATTGAAGATTTCTCAAAGAACTTAGAACTACCATTTAACCTACCAATCCCATTATTGGGCATATACCCAAGGGAAAATAAATCATTCTACCAAAAAGACACATACACTTGTATGTTCATAACAGCATTATTCGCAATAGCAAAGACATGGAATTAACCTGGGTGCTTATCAACGGTAGATTGAATTTTAAAAATGTAGTAGTAGTACATATACACCACAGAATACTACACAGCTATAGAAAAGAATGAAATCATGTCCTTTTCAGAAACATGGATGCAACTGGAGGCCATAACCCTAAGTAAATTGTTATAATATAGGAATGGAAAACCAAATACAGCTTGTTCTCACTTGTAAGTGGGAGCTAAACACTGAGTACACATTGACATAAATATGGTAACACTAGGCACTGTGAACTACTGGAAGGGGCAGGAGGGAGGGGAGATGGGTTGAAAAACTGCCTGTTAGGTAATATGCTCACTACCTGGGTGATGGAATCCATATCCTAAACATCAGCATTATTCCACATACCTGTGTAAAAACTTGCAGCTATGTCCCCTGAATATAAAATAAAATCAAAATTATTTTTTTAAAAAGAAATTGTTGTCATTACAGGAAGTGGTAGATATTTTGGGTTCTGCCTAGGCTGTTTCTGAATCAGAAGGGAGTCCATATGATTCTGTTTGACATAAGTATCCCTGCTCAAACCATTCTGGAAGGAATCAACTTTATACATGGAGACATCTGTCATCTCTCTGAGGTAGAGAAAGCCTTCCAGGATATAAATGTTACCTGTGTGTTCCATATTGTCTTTTATGTTATGTCAGGGTGGAAACAATTGAATCAAAAACTGCTTGAAGAAGTCAATGTGGGGGACACAGGCAATGTCCTCCAGGCTTGCAGGAGGATAGGAGTAATAAAATTAGTTTACACTAGTGCTTTTAATGCATATTTGGAGGTGAAATGGTCAGAAATGAAGATGAATCTGTCTTTCTTAGCTCTTCACCTCTAAAGCAATCACTACTCTCAGACAAAATTGACTATGGACAAAAAGATAGTGGAAGTAAATGGTGTTTTTCCTCCCCTACATCCCTAACATCCTGAATCCCTTCCCTTAAGTCTGTGACCACTGGGATACTTGGTCCCACTAAGATAGCTTTCCTCCATTATGATTCCTCATCTACATGTTCAGTGTCATCAGAAGAATGATGTCCTTTTCCAGATAGCTGAATTACACAGCATTTAAATTTATCTTATTTCATTTTTATGAGAAGTTATAATATTGGAATAAAAAGCAGAAACAAGGAAAGAGATTTTCTGAAGTATACATTTTATATGAGCCAAGGAATTAGTACCTGGAAAACTAAACTGTAATATTTAAAATTAGTTTATATATGGAGATAATTATGTTTCTTGCTAAAATGCCTATCACCCTACTGATTCTCAATTTGAAATAAGCATTATAACTTTTACATGTCTGAATATGAAATTTTACAAATTGGACAGGAGAGGCCAGAGAATTAGCTTGCTCTTTTTCCACCATGTAGGAATAAAATAAGAAATCAGCAGTCTGCAATCAGCAGTTACTGGAACTCAACCATGCTGATGCCTTGATCTTGGACTTGCCAGCCACCAGAACTATGAGAAATAAATATTTCTTGTTTAAGCCACGCAGTTTATGATAATTTATTATATCAGCCTAAACTGATTAAGACAAAAATGCTAAGAAACAGAAGGACCACATAGTAAAATTCCATAAACTGTTCTGGAATTTTATGTCTACTACTAAGGTCTAGAATCCAGTAGGTCCTCATGGATTGAATATGGCACCAGCAAGGGGGATGTGGACATGAGCCAGATCCTAACACAAAGGATATTTGCCCTCAGACCTCCTTTATGGTTCCTTCCAGGAGTGTGCAGCCCAGAATAAAGGTTTGATGGAGTGACTGGTGCCACAGGTATGAGCAATCGGCTCATAATGGGGGCAACAGTTTGGAATCAGAGAATCATGATTATTCTTGTAAATGATACTTATGGACCAAAGAGGCACATTGGGCTCAGAACATAGCATTTTTTCCCCTAGGTCTGTCAGCCTATATATCTTTTACAGGCCAGGTATGTCAAAAGTCTACATTTGGGAGAGGTCTTAAAATCCATATAATATACATTTTGTACACAATTTCAGAATTTGTAACAGATTATACTCAAGATACTGCATTTTATCTAGTGTGTTTTTACATTATAATTTCACAGGGTAACAGCTTCTCATTTTCAATGCTAGGTTACTTTTATGTGATATTCATGTTTTGTACCAATCTGGTGTTCAGATTTTATATTGCTTGATATGATTTTTTAAGTGCATAATCACTTTCTTAAAGTTTCTGTTTAAAAACTTATGGGAAGCATGACATAATATAAATTATATTAGAGATGGAATACTTAATATCCCCTAAAATACCAAATAACTTAGACCAGTATCCCAGTATTTAAATATATAGTTGATAACTCAAAGTAATTTATCACTGTTTCTCTGTAATCATTTTGATGTCACAGGTTGTTTAAGGCTTAATGATGATTAAGAACATTTAGTGAATTTATGAACACTTTAATGAATTGATTTAACATTTCAGCTGTTTATGTGCAAGGACCCATAAAATTATCAATTTAAATGACTTGAGAATTAAAATATAATAGTTTATTCTTGGAGCATCACTTTTTCTCTCTCCAGTTATTGGTCAGGCTACCAAATGCTTTTTAAAAAATCTAGGTTTTAAATATTTTTATTTATTTATTTATTTTGAGATGGAGTTTCACTCTTGTCACCCAGGCTGGAGTGCAAAGGCATTGTCTCAGCTCACTGCAACCTGCACCTCCCGGGTTCAAATGATTCTCCTGTGTCAGCCTCCTGAGTAGCTGGGATTACAGGTACCCGCCACCATGCCCCACTAATTATTGTATTTTTAGTAGGGGAAGGGTTTCACCATGTTGGCCAGGCCGGTCTCAAACTCCTGACCTCAGGTGATCCGCCCCAGTTGGCCTCCCAAAGTGCTGGGATTACAGGTGTGAACCACCGTGCCAGCCTAGATATTTTTACATGAGATTGTGGATGATAATCTCATTTTGGGTAGATTTGTATTCTGGGTAGATTTTTATCAGGGATCCTGATTTAAAAAGAAAAAAATAAATTTTTTTTCTGGTTATGATTAGCATTTTTCATTAATTACCACCTATTTTAGTTAAGGTAGCTCCATTTAATTCATACAACATTTTATTTGTAGTGCATGGTGCAATTAAAACAATAGTTACAATGTCATGAAGGACCTGCGCCAAGAATCACATGACACCACATAGCCATCAGTACCTATGACAATGCTACTTTTAAATTCTCATTTTTTAATGAGAATATTGAGGCTCCAAGATGTTAAGTAACTTTCCCAAGAATACACAGCTAGTAGATTCAGATTTATAAGGCCACAAAGCCTGGGTTCTCAGTTACTACTCTGCTCACTGGAACTTGTGGGAGCAAATTCTGATCAATTTATAAGCTCTTCTTCCCCAAAAGATCTTAGCTTGGAGAAGAAGGAGACCTCTATACTGCAGAGCTAAAGTTTTGAGTAGGTTGTGCTTGACTTCTGAGGCATGTGACATGTGAATAAAACTGGTTTTATGAAGGTAAAATCATCAGCATTTCCATGGAGCATCTTGTGTTTCTCAGGGCATGGGAACCAACCATCTGCAGTAAAAAGTAAATTTTTAACTCATAAGTCAATGGAATTGTTGTGGGTATGGATATCACCATATTATTTGGCAGGTGATTCTTATTGAAATATCATAAAGGGCAAGTATTGTGACAACTTTTCTCCATGATTAATAAAACAAACAGATAATCTTTATAATACTAATCATTGCTGTTTCTTTATAAAATGTTCTTGATTACTTAAAGTACTATTAAATTAAAAATCAGATTTTTGCAACATGTAGAAGGCTCTTTTAAAAAAACTGTAATATTATTCTATATTGTATTTCTCTAGGTATAATATCACATCACCATAATCTGCATGGTCTAATAAAATAGTAAACTGTTTCCCAATAAATAGCTTTCCCACAATATGGAAACATTGGCAATGTTTTGTTTTGTTTTTTTGTTTGTTTTGTTTTGAGATGGAGTCTCGCTCTGTCACCCAGACTGGAGTGCAGTGGCATGATCTCGGCTCACTACTACTTCCGCCTTCTGGGTTCAAGCGATTCTGCTGCCTCCACCTTCTGGGTTCAAGCGATTCTCCTGCCTCAGCCTCCTGATTAGCTGGGACTACAGGCATGTGCCACTACACCAGGCCAATTTTTTTGTATTTTTAGTAGAGATGAGGTTTCACCGTGTTAGCCAGGGTGATCTGGAACTCCTGACCTTGTGATCCGCCTGCCTCAGCCTCCCAAAGTGCTGGGATTACACGCATGAGCCACCACATCCAGCCGGCAATGTTTTTTAACATGTAGTTTAGTCTTCAGACCCTCTCAAATTACTTACTGAATTAAAGTATGCCTTTTATAAGAAACAACATTCAGTAATATAAAAATAAACTCTCATGTCTTCTTTACTTTCCATTTAATTTAAGGTACATTTTGGAGGACATTCTTGTGCTTACTTCATGTAACCTCACTTGCTTTTAGGTGAATTCAAAATTCTGATGTTAATCCCTTGTATTAGGGTTCTCTAGAGGAACAGAAGTAATAGGATATATGTATATACGAAAGGGAATTTATTAAGGAGTATTGACTCAGACGATCACAAGGTAAAATTCCAGGATAGGCTGTCTGCAAGTTGAGGAGCAAGCAAGCCAGTGGTGGTTCCGTCTGAGTCCCCAAACCTCAAAAGTAGGGAAGCTGACAGCGCAGCCTTCAGTCTGTGGCCAAAGGCTCAAGAGCCCCTGGAAAACCACTGGTGTAAGTCCAAGAGTCCAAAAGCTGAAGAACTTGGAGTCTGATGTTCGAGGGCAGGAAGCATCCAGCACAGGAGAAAGATGAAAGCTGGAAGACTCAGTAGTCTGCTCTTCCATCTTCTCCTGCCTCCTCGCTGGCAGCTGATTAGATGGTGCCCACCAGATTGAGGGTGGATCTGCCTCTCCCAGACCACTGACTCAAATGTTAATTTCCTTTGGCAACACCCTCACAGACACACCCAGGAACAATACTTTGCATCCTTCAATCTAATCAAGTTGACACTCAATATTAACCATCTTCTTACTGAGCAGTTAACTCATAATAACACTGCCAAAGAGAACTCTAACAGTTAACAGAAGCATTGTTTGTTGTCCTAAGTCTGTCATAATATTCTGTATAACCTTTGAAGAAACATTTAAATTTTCCTCTTTCAAGCAATGAAATGTGCATTCCTTAAATTGAAAGAACATGAGCCTCCTTGATGCGTTGCATGACATGGTGGGAAAGGTGAGCCCCTGAGTCAGAGGACTCATCCCGGATCCCATTCTCTCACAGGCTTGTGAAAGCAGAAGTCACCTTCCTTCTGACCTTGGCATGTATCCTGCTTCAAGAATGGAACTGGAGGCATATCTATTCTGATTACAAAGAAAATTTAAGTCATTCTCCTATAGAATTTTAATTTCAATCATTGTTTTAGGAATTTGCAAATATATGGCTTGCTTTGTCTTAACTAATAGAAAAAGTGTCCTTTTTCAAAAAGAGAAGTGTTAATGTAATGATAATAGTAATGACTTCACAGAGTGTGTGTTCTGTTCCAAGCACTTTAAGCATATTAACAATTTAATCCTCACAGTAATCCTTGGAGGATGATATCATCCTGATTTTGCAAGTGAGACAACTGAGGCACAGAAAGGCCAAGCCTTATATAGCAGAGCTGGTATTTGAACCCAGGATGTCTGGCTCTTAATGCTGTTAGTTTACATTCTTAACTGTGGGCCAGATGTGTGTAACTGACTATCAAACGTGGTTCTGACACAAAACTCTACATCTAAATTCCAATCTCCATTTTACATTTCTGCTAACCTGATGGGGGGAAAACTTTTATTTTAATATGACCAGGGATCCACATTTTGAAAAATATTGCCAGTGCAGTCCTGACAGCCACTTCTTCATTCTTAAGCACCTGGGAGGAAACTGTTCAGAAGTGGTGTGTTATGAAATGGTAAAATCAGCTCTGCCCTTGCTGATGAATCCAGAATAATTACCAATGACTAAGTCCAGCCTCATGACCACTTTCTTGAGTGACATTGAGTTTGCATCCTAATTTGAAGTTTACAATTCTGGCAAGATATTGGACAGCTGCATGGATAATTTTGTTCACAAATATAGATGCAAAACTCTATGCTGCGTTAAAGCTATTTTAAAGAGCATACTTTAGGACTAGTGTTTATTTCCTTGTGTCTAAATTTCCTGTTTTGCATTTGCTTCAGCTAAGATTGTTTTGGGCTAAACTTATCTTCCTACACAGACCCTTGGTATCATGTAAATCAAAATAATCATAGGCATATTTAATTATATGACATTTGTTGTCTCTACACTAAAGTTTTTCTAACATTCTTAAATTTTGTCTACATAATGAATATATTTTTAACAGAAAAATCTATAGGTTTGATTGCCTGCTTATTTAAATAAAAAGAGAAAGAAGAGGTAGAAGAACTATGAACTCTTTATTGGTTGCCAAGCAATAAAAATACTTTTTTGGGAAAAAACTAAACCCCATTGTTTCCTTGAATGTGCTTGTTCTTTCAGCTCAGTCCTAAGAGTGGATGATTACTGAGCACAGGGCCCTGAGATGAACTGAGGGACTCGCATCTCATTCAAGCCTCACAAAGCAGTGGAAGGATTAACGTTTTCTTCATTTTATAAAGAGCACACTGAGACTAAGAATGGTTGATTAGTTTGCCCAAGTTCTCAAGAGTAGTAAAATTTTGAGCCGTTAATTTAAAACAGACCATCTGGAGGTAGACTAGAGCTGAGAATGATCTCAATTAAAGGAAGGAATTCTGTCACTTTGTGGAGTTTTATGAAGAGATAAGATAGAAACCAACCTACTGAGTATTAAACAAAAGGCTATTTCCCGAAAACATCCTTCCACATTCATTCTTCAATCAGTAAAATTTTACTACCATTAAGGCAGAAAAAGGGTTAGACACAATTCCTTCCTTCAAGAAGTTTAGAGGTTAATGGGGACACTACAATATTCGTGACATAACTTAAAAGCTACATAAAAACAGTATAGAAAGGTAAAGATTTCTCTGTGAAAGAGGTATAAAAAAGAAAATATTTTCCTCATGGTAAGCTTGAAGTTTCTTCCTCCCTGGGAGGCTTAAAGGAGTCTTCGTGATGGAGATCTAGAATCCATCTTTAGTTGGTTAGTGTGTGCACATATGAGAGGGAAGGCCATGCTGGGCCTGATCCAAGAATGAGGCTGGAAATGGGTGTACTTTTAAGAAAATGAATAAATAAATAAATGATCTTGTTTGCCTAGGAGCCTGCAAGGGACTAATGGAAGCTGTGAATAGAAAGACCCTTTGGAACCAATTTGGAGATGTCCTTGAAAACGAGGGGAGTATAGAATTTTCTCCAAAAGAAGATAAGAAACCTTTAAAGGATCGTATCTGCGGAGGGGCAAGATAGTAACAAAATCTTCGAGGAGGGAATAAGCCCTTACTTCACCGCTGTTCACCTTGTTTGAGGGCTTACCTTTCACAGCATGGGCCCCTGCTCCTGGCCCTCCCCATCGCCTAGGCAGAGTTTCACTCTTAGCCTCTGTCAAGTGTGATCACCAGCTGACTTATCTATCTCTTCTTTTTTTTTTTTTTTTTTTTTTTTTGAGACGGAGTCTCACTCTGTCACCCAGGCTGGAGTGCAGTGGCGCGATCTCGGCTCACTGCAAGCTCCATCTCCCAGGTTCATGCCATTCTCCTGCCTCAGCCTCCCGAGTAGCTGGGACTACAGGAGCCCACCACCATGCCCAGCTAATTTTTTGTATTTTTAGTAGAGACAGGGTTTCACCGTGTTAGCCAGGATGGTCTTGATCTCCTGACCTCATGATCCACCCACCTTGGCCTCCCAAAGTTCTGGGATTACAGGCGTGAGCCACCGTGCCTGGCCATCTATCTCTTCTTATCAGTGATTGGGCAGTCTTGATACTGAGCTTCCCAGCTGTGGACCCACAACTAAATTAATGTAAGACCCAAAGATCTGAAACGCCCTTTAAGATGCCACCCTTGAGAATAAAGAATGTTAGATACCAGCAGAGGTTTATGCAAGAAGAAGATGGAGTGGTGGAGAAAAACTGGGAGTAAGAAAATTAAAGGAAGAGAAAATAATAAAAAAGAACAGTGATCATTTGTATTAAATAATGAGAGTGAAATTAGGGCTAACAGTATTTTACAGGTGCAGTGGATCACAGGTTGTTGACATGTAACCAACAAGAATTGGACGATATGGCTGCAACCCTTTGTCTGCAAAAGCTCACATGTATTGGCTAGTAATGTTCAAGTAATTAAGAGGACATTAATCAGTTAAATATCTACCCACACATGTTTTCTCTAAAAAAATTCAAGTCTCCATTTTTTTTCTGTCTAATACTTCTGACTTCAAGGATAGAGTCAAGAGAACTGGGACCAGGAATTGCAACTATTGCAATGAGGCAAATCCCCACAATGTCCCAGGTCAGAGAGTCAAGAGAGAGGCAGCTAAACAATGGGACTGTACCCACCTATGACATGACCTTTTAAAACAGCTCTTTTTTTGTGCTTCTTTAGATGGATAGAAGTGAACTTATATCTATGCTTTGATTTTTGCAAAATTCTTAGTCTGTAAAAGATATAGTTGTGACTAGGAGACTAACTCTCATTTGCCTCAGTCCTAAATTCAGTGTGTTCAGTATAACATTGAGGAAATAAAAATCATAATAATGATTTCAAAAGTGACATATTAACTCCATATTTTTGAAAGAAAGTGTGGTCAGGCTCTGTGCTAAAAGAAATTCTACCTACTGATGTTGCAAAAGCATGTCATAAGATGATCTTTATAATGAAAACTAGATTTCTGTGAATGTGCAATGACTTTTGGGTCCTTTTCTTTCCATATTCAAATCTTATTTCACTTCTGTGAGATTTCCCCTTATTTATGGGTTTCTTTAATCATATGCATATATTTTTTATGTTGAAATCTAGTAAAGGTATAAGCTTTTGTTTCATTTTTAGCATGGACCTAAGAAGCTCTTCCATCATAATCTATGGCTTTCATTATTGATTCTGTTTATAGACAGAATATAAATATAATATGAAAATCAAAAACAAGTTTTAAACAAAAATTGTTTTTAAAATTAGATTTTTCTCTTCAACTTAAATATTTTACCCTTCCAAAGGGCGAGGGAAGGAGGAAAGATGAAATTAGCAGAATTAATGTAGAAATAAAATGTTTGGAGCAGAGCTTGGGCTTTTTCCCATAGAGTGAATACTAAATTTTATCAGTATAATGATCCATCACAGTTTAAAGAAGCAACACATTTTCCAATTACAATGATAACTTTTAACATATCCAACATTTTAACATCTCTGTATCTTCTAATACATTAGATTTGAAAAATTCTGTAGTGATTGCTTGTCTCAGCATTTTGCAAACATCATCCTTGCTGTACCAAAACAGAGTTCGCCAATTTTGGAAAGATGTGTGAGTGGCTGAACCTCTTCTGGGACTGGACAACAGACAGCAACTACTATACGTGCAAGTAGTTGTTCTCTGGTGAGCTGAAACAGTTACTCACATCACTTCCCATGCTCTGAGGTTCAGATGAGGAGCCCTGGTAGAGAAAGGCAGCTCTAGATCTTTGTAAGAAGGTAATAAGACACCAAACTGTGCCCTTCAATGGAAAGTATTAATATAATACATCTCTCCAAGGAAGGGCTGACAATGGGAGTTGAAAGCCACCAGACAGCAAGTGCAGGGTGCAAACTCTGTGGCTCTCAAAATGAGTGGGAAGGTAGTTACACAAAGTTGGTGCCCCCATACTTGTCTGGAGGCCTAGCTGAGGAACCAATCCTAGCATGCTCCTCCCATCATCATGGCCACTCTAGGAACCAGCCCTAGCCACAGCCCTACTAGGCAAGAGTTGTCATGCTTCTTTTACAAACTTCGAGTAGATTTAAAGTTTTCCTTTTGTCTTCTTCACCAGAGAAAGAAAAAGTTTACTTTTGGACAGGTTGCATTAAAGCACTTTAGATATTCTCTTTTCTCTGGTGGAAGCCCGTATCTTAGGAGACATGGGGAGCCTGCTGCTGGCTCACCTGTCACAGAACTGGATCGTGAAGATTTCATCTGGTTTTTCCCAGGTGGGCATTTTAAATTTCTGCTTCAAAGTCTGTCTTTGTACTTTTAATAAATAAGACATTTGTACTGATGGAATCTGCAAGACAGGCTTGAAGGAAAAAATAAGTGTCTCAAAGTGAAAGTCTGTTTCTTTTTACATGAACAGTCATGTAAAAAATGTATTAAAAATAGCCTTTTTGACTTGGAGATCTATTATGTTCAGTAGCTAAACTATAACACAGAAGACCACATGGAGCACATACATGAAATATTGTTGAGGTGGCCATTTGGAGTCCTGGGTTCTAGTAAGGACTCCACTTCAATTGGCCGCATGATCCAAGGACGGGCATATCACTTCTCCAGGACTTAGGGTCTTCATCTCTAAAGTGAAGGCTGAACATAACAGGTACCCTTAAAGCTGCAAAGCATCACACAACATTTCACACCTGTTTACCCTCTCATTCTCTTAGATAACACTTTTTCTCTCTTTTCTCTTTCCTTGAAATGCCAGTGTCTCTTCTCCCAGTCTCATTCTTAGCTCCCTACTTCACCAGAAAACTGAAGCAATCAAAAAAGAATGTCCATGAGCTTCCAACATCACATTGGCTTATGGCTGTGATCTGAATGTGTCTCCTCCATAATTCAGGTATTGAAACTTAATGGCCAATGTGACAGTATTAAAAGATGGGCCTTTAAGGCCATGCGGGCTCCTCCCTCATCAAGGGGATAAAGGTCTTTCTAACAGAGGCTTCACACAGCGTCTGGCCCTCTTGCCGTGCTACCTTCTGCCAGGTGAGAATGCAGCGAAAAGGACCGCACCAGATGCCAAAAGGACCTCACTGTCTCCTTGATCCTGAATTTGTCAGCCTCTAGAACTGTGAGAAAATAAACTTCTTTTCTTTTCTTTTTTTTTTTTTTTTGAGACAGAGTTTCAGTCTTGTTGCTCAGGCTGGAATGCAATGACATAATCTCGGCTCACTGTAACCTCCACCTCCCAAGTTCAAGGGATTCTCCTGCTTCAGCCTCCCAAGTAGTGGGCATTACAGGTGTGCGCCACCTCGCCTAGCTAATTTTGTATTTTTAGTAGAGACAGGGTTTCACCATGTTGGTTAGGCTGGTCTCAAACTCCTGACCTCAAGTGATCCACGGCCTTGGCCTCCCAATGTGCTGGGATTACAGGCATGAGTCACTGCACCCAGCCAATTTCTTTTTTTACACATTACTCAGGCTGTGGTATTCTGTTATAATAGCACGAATAGACTGAGACCAAAATTGATACCAGGAGAATGGAGTGTTGCTACAACAAATACCTGAAAATGTAGAAGCAGCTTTGGAACTGAGTAATGGGTAGAGGCTGGAACCGTTTTAAAGGGAATGCTGAAAAAGCCTGTATGGCCCAACATGGCACATTAAGGGTGATTCTGGTGAGGGCTCAGAACAAAAGGAGAGCTGTAGGGAAAGCCTGAACCTTCTTAGTTCATCTTAGACAAGTTCTTATATTATCTCAGTGGTTGTGACCAGAATACTGGTAGAAATATGGACAGTGAGGGCCTTTATTATGGTATCTTAAAGAGAAATCAGAAACACCTTACTGGAAACTGGAAGAAAGGCCATCATGGTTACAAAGTAGCCAAGAAGTTGGCTGAATTATGTTCCTGCCTCAGTATTTTGTGGGAGGTAGAACTTAAGAGTGATGAACTAGGATACTTGATGAAAGAAATCTCTAAGCAGCAAAATGTTGAAGGAATTGCACGGCTTCTCTTAACTGCTCATAGCAAAATGCAAAAAGAGAGAAATGACTTAAAGATGGAATTTATAATCAAAAGGGAAGCTCTCACATGTAAAGAATGTAAAGATTTGAAAAATTCTCAGCCTGGCCATGTAAATAATAAAAAAGCATGTTTAGTAGAGAAAACCAAGGGTGTGCCCAATTGACAGTCTGATAAGCAGATTAGTGTGAATAGCAGGAAGCCAGGAACAATTTATCAAGATAATGGGAAAATGACCGCGAAGACATTTCAGAGATCTTTGAGGCCGCCACATTCTTCACAGGCAGAGTGCTAGGGCCTTGGGGGCAGAACAGGTTTGAGGGAGGGGCCCAGGGTGCCCATGGGAACTTGAGGCTTACCATCCAGGGCCGCCTCAAATCTCTGCTCCCTGCATTCTGGCACAGTGCTCCTTGGCTGTCCCAGCTATGGCTCAAGCAGGCCCAGGTGTGGCTCAAGTCACTGCTTCAGGAGGTATAGGCCATAGCACTTGGCAGCATCCATGTAGTGCGAACTCTGCAAGTGCACAGAGTTCAGGAGCTTTGAAGGCTTAGCTTCCTCCCCTAGGTTTCAGAGAATGCCTCAGAGTGTCTCCACCAGAGGTATGCACAGTGGAGCTGTGTGAGTGGGGCCACCTCAGAGAGTACTCACTAACACAAAATCTAGTGGAACTATGGGGGTAGGGCCATGCTGGAGACCTCCACATTTTAGAGTCACCAGCATGCAATGCCAGCGTGAAAGAGCTGCAGGCAGGAGACTCCAACCCATGAGGGCTGTGGTGTGGGCTGTGCCCAGCAAAGCTATGGGGTTGTGGCCTTTGGAGCCTTGGGGATCCAACCCCTGCCCCAGTCTGCCTTGAAGGTAAAACATGAGTCAAATAAAATTATTCTCAAGCCTTAAGATCTAATGTTGTTTGCCCTTTTGGGTTTTGGATTTACTCAGAACTTGTTACCCCTTTCTTTTAGCCAATTTCTGCCTTTCAGGATGGGAATGTCTATCCCACACCTATACCACCATTGTGTTTTTGGAAGCTAATAACTTATTCGACTTTGCAGCCTCATTGCTGGAGGGAAATTTGCTTCAGGATGAATTGTTCCTTGAGTCTCACTCATACCTGATTTACATAAACCTCTGGACTTTAGACTTTTGAGTTGTTGTTGGAATGAATGAAAACTTTTGGGGCTATTGGGATGGAATTAATAATGTATTTTGCACATGAGAAGGATATGAATTTTGAGTGGCCAGAGAAGAATGCTATGATTTGAATGTATTTCTGCCAAAATTAATATGTTGAAACTTAATGAAGAATGTGATCATATTGAGAGGTGAGGCCTTTAAGAGGAATTAGGCCATGAGGATTCCTCCTCCATGAATAGGATTAAGGACTGTCTTAGTCCATTTTATGCTGTTACACAGAATACCACAGACTGGGTAATTTATAATAAACAGAAATTTATTGGCTCACTATTCTGGAGCTGGAAAGTCCAAGATCAAGGGGCTGACTCCTGCCTAGGGCCTTCATGTGTGTCCTTTCATCGTGAAGGGCATAAAAAAGGGGTGAGAGAGAAAAAAGCAGGCCAAATAGGTCCTTTTATAGGGAGCCCATTCCCACAATAGCAGCATTAATCCATTTATGAAGGCAGAGCCCTCATAGTGTAATCACCTCTTAATACTATTTTAATGATAATTAAGTTTCTAACACATGATTTTTGGGAGGACACATTCAAACTGCAGCAAAGCCCTTAAAAAAGAGGCTAAATGCAGCATTTGGCTCTCTTGCCCTTCTGCCTTCTGTCATGTGCACAGGCAGCAAGAAGGGCCTCACCAGATATCAAATTCTGGCATCTTGATTTCGGGCTTCACAGCTTTTATACCTGTGAAAAAATTAATCACGCAATCTGTGGTCATCTGTCACAGCAGCACAAAATGAACAAAGACACTTACCCACCAGTACCTACACCCACAGAGTCTGCCTTCTCACCTTTTAACTTAGACTAACTACCCTTACTCATATACGAAGCTCATACTTCACCTATTCAAAAATAGAAGTCGCAAGATTAGCTCACCTCTGGCCTTTGGATTTTTCCTTGGAAAATTCTATTAACATCCAGTCATGCTATATTCCCTATCCTTAAGGGCATGACAACAATAGAACACAAACAAAAAGAAACTTTTCTTGGCTTTACTTTCTCTGCCAGCTCCTGTCCCATTTCTATTCTCTTTTGCAACACAATTCCTTGAAGGAGTTATCCACACTCTTTTAAAATATTTTTCTCTGTTATTCTTGTAAACACAGTCCAATCAGATTTTTCAGCACTTCCCCTACACTGCTCTTGTCAAAGTGTCCAACAAATCTCACATTGCTAAAATCAGTGGTCAACTCTCAATTCTCACATTACTCACACTATCTGCAGCATCTGATATAATTGATTACGACTCCTCCTTGTTAATTTTTTTTCTTGTTTCAGTCAGTCTTTTGGCATTAGTTCCATCCATATGCCACTGACTTCCAAATGTGGCTCTCTAGCCAACACCTCTCTCCCAAACTGCAAACTAAAATTCCAAAAGGCTTATTTGACTCTTTTTAGATGTCTTAGAGATAGCTCAAACTTACCAATGTTCAAACCTGAACTCCTGATCTTTGCATTCAAAACTTTGTTTACCTGTAAACTTCCTAATCTCATCTGGTGGAAACTCCATTCTCACACTTGCTTACACCAAATATTTAAGAGTCAGGCTCATTTGGTGGTCTCTTATGAGCTCACACTTGCAGTTTCACTCCTATGGAGCTCAGCCAGGGCTAGAACTTCCATTATGGTTTAAATCATATGGCTGGTAGTTGTGCTGACTATTGGCTGACTCTGGGGCTCTGTTCTCCTCCGTCAGTCTAGCTTAGCTTTCTATCAGCATGGCAGCTGCATTCCAAGACATAAAAAATGGAAGGTGTGGGGATTCTTGAAGTTTTGTCTTTGGAGTTGCACATTGTCATTTCTACCACATGATATTGGTTAAAGCAACTCATAAGATTAGTCCAGATTTAAGGGGAGGTAAGACAGATTCTATGTCTTGATGGAAAAGTGGAAAAGTCATATTGCAAAAGGGCATGTAAGATAGAATGGAGTGTTGCAGTCATCTTTGGAAACAATCGACCGTATAGGACATCTTCAAATTACAAAATAAGCTACTTGCCCTAGAATGTGCCCTCTTTCCCCTTCTGTTACAAGCACATGACCCAGCTGTGATTAGGCAGATATGGACCATACCCTGGGGCATGGAACAGCAAAAAGTTGAAAGAAACCTGTACTCGGATAATCATGCAAAGCTGAGTTGCTCATCCCATGACTGTTAGGTAAAGACAAAAAACTTTCTTCCATCTCCGTTTCTACCCGTTCCCTTTCACCCTCACCCCTTGTATCTTTGATGTTCCCTAAACTGGCCAGGCCTTCTCCAGCCTTAGTCCTTTTAATTGTTCTGTCCACCTGAAACATTCTTTCCACAAATATCTACAGAGCTTGCTTCTTCACTTCATGCAAGGGTTTATTTAAATATCACCCACTTAATAAAGTATTTTTGACCACACTTTTTAAAATAAAAATCCATGACTAATGAAGACTGACACACATTTAGTCCTTTGAACAATACCTAGATAAAAATGTCTGTGGAGTGAAAAGAATAAATGCTGACTTTGCTGTTTACTGGTTTTCTTCAGGAAAGTCTCATTATTTCTCAGACTACTTCATCAGAAAATGGAGATAACAATGGCTTTCTGGCCGGGCGCGGTGGCTCACGCCTGTAATCCCAGCACTTTGGGAGGCCGAGGCGGGCGGATCACGAGGTCAGGAGATCGAGACCATCCCGGCTAAAACGGTGAAACCCCGTCTCTACTAAAAATACAAAAAATTAGCCAGGCGTAGTGGCGCGCGCCTGTAGTCCCAGCTACTTGGGAGGCTGAGGCAGGAGAATGGCGTGAACCCGGGAGGCGGAGCTTGCAGTGAGCCGAGATCCCGCCACTGCACTCCAGCCTGGGCGACAGAGCGAGACTCCGTCTCAAAAAAAAAAAAAAAAAAAAACAATGGCTTTCTTTTACGGTCATTGTGAAACTTAGATGGCCCCGTGTTTGAGAAGTCCTCCTTATGAGGTCGCCCTCATGATTGCTCTTCACTTGAGTTCAGGCTCCCGCTCTTTGTCACTCCCCTTTGTGGAGACAGACAGACTTTCTGGAGCTGACTAACCTTGACTAACCTCTCACTACCCAACCCACATCTGGCTACAGGGGAAAGAACACTGTCACAGGAACTAGGCTGGTTGTACCATCCCCACAAGAGTGTATTCAGATTCTTCTTGAGAAGAGTCTAGAATCGCACCAGAACTCTGATCCCCAGCCCAAAAGCTTGCATCAATGTGGTATTTTTATAAACATGAACATAGTGAAATGACTACCATAATCAAGCTAATTAGCATATCCATCACCTCACATATTTACCTTCCTTTTTTATTGTATGAGAACTCTTAGGATCTATTCTCTTAGCAAATTCCAAGTATACAATACAGTATTATTAACAATAGTCACCATGCTATACATTAGATCTCCAGGACTTATTTCTCTTGCATAACTGAAATTGGACCCTTTACTCAACGTCTCCCAATTTCCCCTACCCCCAACCCCTGGCAAACATTATTCTACGCTCTGCTACCTGGATATTTTGTCTCTCTATGTACATTTTAGATTGCATAAAATAATTTGCTGTTGTAATGAATGGCATTGCACTGGATCCACAAATCAAGTTAGAAAGACATCTTGACAACATTGAGTCTCTCTATCCATGTATATGGAATAGCTCTCCATGTATTTAGTTCTTTGATTTCTTTCCTCAGCTTTATAGCTTTCCTCATATAGATCTTATACAAATTCGGTAGATGTATACCTATGTTTTTAATTTCTAGGGGTGCTAATGTAAATGATATTCTGTTTTTAATTTCAAATTCCACTTGTTTATTGCTGATGTATAGGAAAGTGATTGATTTTTTGATATTAGCTGTGCTCTTATTTTTATTTCCCTCATTTTCCTTGTTTTGAATTTACTTTGTTCTTCTTTCTTATTTCTTGAGTAGGAACTTAGAGTATTGACTTGAGGACACAAATGATGCTGAATAGCCAAAACAATATTTAGCAAAAAGAACGAAGCTGGAGGCATTATACTCCCTGATTTCAGAACATGTTATAAAGTGATATTAATTAAAACCACATAGGTACTCCTATAAAAACAGACACATTGACCAATGGAACAGGATAGAAAGCCCAGAAATAAACCCAGCCATTTGATTTTTGACAAAGGTTCCTAGAACACACAGTGGGGAAAGCACAGCCTTCTCAATAAATGCTGTGGGAAAAACTGAGTATCCGCATGTAGAAGAATGAAATGAGATCCTTATATCATACCATATACAAAAATTAACTCTAAATTGATGAAAGACTTAAATATAAGACTTGAAACTGGAAAACTATTACATGAAAACAGAGAAAATGCTCCAAGATATGGGTTTGATCAGCAATTTTTTGGATATAACCCTGAAAGCATAGGGAACAAAAGCAAAAATAAACAAATGGGATGACATCAAGATTAACTAACTTAATTATATTATTTGATGAATAGAAGTCATTAATTTATAGAAGTTCAATTTAATAAACTTTAAAAATATTTGGTGTCTTTTTGGTCCTGTTTAAGAAATCTTTGCCTATCTCAAGGTCATGGAAGATATTTTGTACTTTTTTGTTATAGAATTTGTATTGTTTTTACTGTCCAAGCTTCCACATTGTGGCCTATGATCCATCCTGAATAAATGTTGCTAAAAATTAAACTTTGACTTAGCTTACTATAAATGATATTTATATTTATGTATTACATAATTTATTTACATATTCTCATATGTATTACATATGAGAATTATTTTACTATAAACACTATAATTAAGGCAGAATAGATATTTTAGATACATATTCCTGAAGATGCCACTTCCATTCAACGGACAAAAAGATAGTCTTTTCCATAAAATTTACTAGGTCAGTTAGATATCTGTAGGTGTGGTGGGTAATTTTGTCTTTAAACTTGGCTGGGCCACAGTGCCCAGATATTTGGTCAAACATTATTCTGAATGTTTCTGTCAAGATTTTTTCGTTTGGATAAGAACAATACATAAATCAGTGGACTTAGGGTTTGCACATTACCCTCCATAGTGTGGAAGGGCCTTCTCCAATCAGTTGAAAGACTTAATAGAGCAAAGACTGGCCAGGCACGGTGGCTCACGCCTGTAATCCCAGCACTTTGGGAGGCTGAGGTGGGCAGATCAAGAGGCCAGGAGATAGAGACCATCCTGGCTAACACGGTGAAACCCCATCTCTACTAAAAATACAAAAAATTAGCCGGGCGTGGTGGCAGGTGCCTGTTGTCCCAGCTACTCAGGAGGCTGAGGCAGAAGAATGGTGTGAACCTGGGAGGTGGAGCTTGCAGTGAGCTGAGATGCCACTGCACTCCAGCCTGGGCGACAGAGCAAGACTCTGTCTCAAAAAATAATAATAATAATAATAGAGCAAAGACTGACACTTCCTGAGCAAGGAGGAATTCTGCTAGTAGACTGCCTTTGGAGTCAAACTGCAACTCTTCCCTGGGTCTTGAGCCTGCTGGCCTAACCTGTAGATTTTGGATTAACCAAGCCCTTACAATTGTGTAAGCCAATTTTAAAAAATAAATCTCTTGATATAGATAGGTAGATAGATACATAGACGGACAGATAGACATTCTGCTGTTCTGCTGGTTCTCTTTTCCTGGAGAACCCTGACTAATACAATGGGGAAAAACATGTATCTTGACCTGCACTTCACCATGCACAAAAATTAATTTAAAATGAATCATAGTATCCTGCTCATTTTTAATTCTTCAGATAAAAATTTACCTACTATATCTTTAGAATAAACTTTTAATTAAAGTTAATTAAAATTAACTTTTAATTTTATTTTTATGTTTTTTTCTCTCCCTTGTGAAACAGTAGTATACTTGAAAACAGGAGAATTTTTTTTTATGTTACCAACGCAGTGCCTGGTAACAAATTTTTAGAGGCTACTATGTGTCAGGCTCTGTGATAAGCATTTTAAGCACTTTACTTCCATAAGTCCTCGGAATAATCATACCCTCTTATATAAGTATTATTATGACCACCAAATCACAGATAAGAAAACAAGCATTAGAGAGAAATTAAGTCCAACTGATTCTAAATGCAGGAAGCTTGTACACTAGGTCTCCCTACATGGCTCCTCAATAAATAAATTAATTAAGAAATAAGAAGGGGCTGAGCACAGTGGCTCAAGCCTGTAATCCCAGCACTTTGGGAGGCCTAGGCAGGCAGATCACGAGGTCAGGAGATCGAGACCATCCTGACTAACATGGTGAAACCCCGTGTCTACTAAAAACACAAAAAAATTAGCCGGGCGTGGTGGCGGGTGCCTGTAGTCCCAGCTACTCGGGAGGCTGAGGCAGGAGAATGGCATGAACCCGGGAGGCGGAGCTTGCAGTGAGCCGAGATCTTGCCACTGCACTCCAGGCTGGGCGATAGAGCAAGACTCCGTCTCAAAAAAAAAAAAAAAAGAAAGAAGATGGGCTTAAAGTTTCATAAAATAGGCCGGGCGCGGTGGCTCACGCCTGTAATCCCAGCACTTTGGGAGGCCGAGGTGGGTGGATCATGAGGTCAGGAGATCGAGACCATCCTGGCTAACAAGGTGAAACCCCGTCTCTACTAAAAATACAAAAAAATTAGCCGGGCGCGGTGGCGGGCGCCTGTAGTCCCAGCTACTGGGGAGGCTGAGGCAGGAGAATGGCGTGAACCCGGGAAGCGGAGCTTGCAGTGAGCCGAGATTGCGCCACTGCAGTCCGCAGTCCGGCCTGGGCGACAGAGCGAGACTCCGTCTCAAAAAAAAAAAAAAAAAAAAAAAAAAAAACTCCTAGGGGAAATAAGAGGGATGCTGGGAGGGCTTTTTATTTGAGTGCCACTGTGGTCTTCCTGATTTGAGTGCCCACTTGTTTCGGAATTTAGGGTGTGGGAGTGACCAAGGAGCACAGTGACTAGAGGGAACTAGAAACAAAATAGACATTGTTCACTTTGGTTGCTAAATTTAATATGTCCCTATTGCACTTTTTGTTTTGGGAAATTTTTCCAACATTAAGAAAAGCCCTTTTAAAGAAGAGTGTTAAAACATTGGTTACATGAGAACCAAGGAGGATTCACCTTACAAGGTGAAATTATGTGTTTTATTCAATTTTCACACTACTATAAAGAAATACCTGAGACTGTGTAATTTATAAATGAAAGAGGAGTTTTTTGTTTTGTTTTGTTTTCACTCAAAATTCTTCAGTTTTTACAAAACTAACAGGGTGGAGTGGGGAGGCTGGGGGGCAGGCAGCCTCAGGAGTAGGGCTGGTGAGAGGCGCTATGCTTCTGTCTCCACCTGAGACTGGCTCCCTGCCGTGTTGCTCTTCCACTCCGCCTTCATCTCTGTGTCAGTGGGATGGTCTCCTGAGCAAGCCTCTGCCTTGGCCTTGTTCTCCTCCTCAGCCAGCCTCTCAAACATTTTGGCATAGAACTTCTCCCAGGCAAGCTGCCTGTGGATCCGCTGCTGACCCACAGCCAGCTGGGCCCTGGCGGCTTTGTCGTTGGGGTAGAGCTGCAGGACCTTCTGGAAGTCAGCCCATGCCAGTTCAAAGTCATTCACCGCCAGGTGGGCCTCTCCCGGGCGGAAGGGGCCCTTCTCGTTGTTGCTGCCCAGTTCTAGGGCATTGTTACAACTTTCAATGGCAGCAGAGAAGGCCTGTAGTTTCAGCTGACACATGGCCAGGTCGAGGTGAGAGGCCAGTCGAAGGGCCTGTGCCTTCTGTGCTTCCTCATTGGAAAAACTAGACTCATATTCCAGCCAGGACACAATCTTCTTACACTGTAGTAAAGCTTGCTTGTATTTGCCTTCCTTGAAGTACACACTGCCCTGCTCTTTCACTATGGTGTTCTGTTCCAGCTTCTCTTCTGAAATCATCTCCCAAGATTCCTTGGCCTTTTCAAAACTCTTGAGATGTAATTCATATTTCAGCTCGGCATTTGGTGGGATTTGGAACTTTTCCTTCCCAACACTGCCAAAAGCATAGCTGGGCTTGAGGTACACAGTGGAATGTTCTCCTTTCTCCAAGTGCTGAATGGCCCTCTCCAGATCATAAGGCAGATCCAGGTTCTCCCCCTCGCTAACCTCAAAGCGGAGCGCCCGTTGGTCAAAGAGCTGGTCCTTGCAGCACCCTTCCAGCGCAACCTCCACCATAGCGCCCTCATCGGGCTTGACATAGCCTTCACCGCGAGTCCCTATTCTGCGGATGATTCCCCCATCTTCCTCTTCCGTCAGATCTTCTTCCTTAAACAATTCCACCTCAAACACAAGCGTGGCGTTATGGGGGGATCGTTGGAGGACTGTCTGCTGAACCCTAGGCATATCCTGGTTTGCAGGTGATGTGGCCCACCTCCCCCACCTTCATGGTTGCTACGGCAATGTCCCAAGCCTTGATGACCTCCCCTTTTCCCAGGTCAAAGGAGAATTTGTCCTTGCGATCCACGCTGGAGTCAAACTTTGTGCCCTCTAACAGCCAGCCAGTGTAGTGGACAAAGACTAGGTCCCCAGTCATGGGCATCTCTGTACCTGTGCCCTCTCTCTTGATGACCTTCAGCACTCCTTCATCCTGTTTGGGGCTGACGTCCACTTCCTTCTTGGGCAGCGGCGCCGGCTGCGCCGCACTCTCGGTCGCCTTCATCTCCTTGGCTGTCATCTCTGCGTGGCGCGAAATTTTTCCGGGAGATGGCGCAGGCGCGAGTGCACTCTGGGCCGCAGGCGGGGGCGCTACCTGCAGGGCATGCGGCAGGCCGGACACTACGGCGCTGACCGCGCGGAGGCTGGAGCACCTCTCAGGAAACAGGTTTAATTGACACAGTTCCACGTGGCTGGGGAGGGCTCAGGAAACTTACAATCATGGCGGAAGGCAAAGGAGAAGCAAGTATCTTCTTCACAAGGCAGCAGGAAAAAGAAAACAGGCGAAACTTCCTCTTACAAAAAAACCATCAGATCTCATGAGAACTCACTCACCAGCACCAGCACAGCATCGGGGAAACTGTCCCTGTGATCCGACCACCCCCCACCAGGTCCCTCCTCGGACGTGTGGGGATTACAATTCGAGATGAGACTTGGATGGGGACAGAGAGCCAAACCATATCAGTATGTCTATTCAGAAAAATGTTTATATATATATATATATATATATATATATATATTTTTTTTTTTTTTTTTTTTTTTTTTTTTTTTTTTCAGAGTGTTACTCTGTCACCCAGGCTGGAGTGCAGTAGCGCGATCTTGGCTCACTGCAACCTCTGTCTCCCGGGTTCAAGCGATTCTCCTGCCTCAGCCTCCCGAGTGGCTGGGATTACAGGCGCCCACCACCACGCCCAGCTACATATACATATATGTATTTTTAGCAGAGACCGGGTTTCACCATGTTGGCCAGGCTGGTCTTGAACTCCTAACCTCAGGTGATCCGCCCGCTGGTGTAAGCCACTGAGCCTGGCCAGAAAAATGTTATTTATATTCTAATGGTACCAACTTCAATACCCTTTATCACTCTGAACCACAGTTTTTTAATTTATTAAGGAAAATTGGGTAGAAAAATGTATTAAAATATATATTAATCTATCAAATACTACACAAAGACAAGTCTTTAAATGGGTTAGGCAATATACTGAAGTTGAACACCAGTAAAACGTTGAGTAACCCCTCCATAGAATTCCCATAGAAATCTCTTCCTTACCATAAACCTAAGATCATTGCTCTCTCTCACTACCACAGGGATGTGATTTTAGCATTTGTATCCAATTTGCGGGTAGCCTAAGCCATCAGTGAGATATTTGGCATTCTGTATCTAAGCCTGTTCCCTCACCACCACACTTCTTCATTTCTCTTGGTTCTATTCTATCTGTAGAAAACACTGAAAAGTGACAAGATGTCTATTTCAAAATCATACACTCATTGCTCACTAAATATTAGCTCTTCAATCACCTGGAGGTACCTGGTATCAGTCTCTCCCGCCTCTCTATGTAGAAGAGGGAGGGGTATTCTGACTGTTGGGTGGTTGTATATTCTCTCAGTTTTCAAAAGTGTCTACTAATTAAATGCCATTGGACATGTGCTCCTACTTCCTGTGGGGGATGAGACACAGTGTGACACAAAAGACAAAATGTCCTTTCTGTATGTTATTATGTCACTTTGTTCATATTCTGTGACCCTACACATTTATAATGTCACCTTTACCTTTCATTATGTTCATACGTGCACACTATATTCTGAGACCCCTCATTTCATTGTTGATTTGTCGATTTCTGAACAAACAGCAGTTTTAATTATTTTAACTTCAGACTTTTCAGTAGGAAAAGTCATATCTGATTTTTATTTTGCTTGAAAATGCTTCTTACTCATATTCTCCTCAGGATGAAATTCCCCTCATCCTGATACTCAGTAACCGCATTCATTCCATCCATTCCACCTGACTTTCTCCCCATCTATTAGCTCCTGCTGTATTCGTTTCTCATCTTATCAAGCTTAGGAAGAATATCGTCCATTATTTACCATTTCCTCTCTTCTATCATTAGTCAAAACTGTGTTTCTCCAAGTGTGGTCCATGAAACTACTGCCTCTGAATTACCAGGGGTACTTGCTAAAATGCATATTCCTAGGCCCCATTCAATCTGGAATGAATGAAGCTTGAAATCTGCAAATGGAATATGCGCCTCTGAAGTACATTATCGTTTGATAGCTGCTTCCCTAGCCTCTCTGCCCATCGCATGGCATCACTCTCACAAACCCTGACTCAGGATGAACCTGCCTTTCTGCCTTCTTATGGCCTTTAACTAACGGGTGAGTGGTGTGACTGAACGAGCATTCACCACAATCCACTTCAACAGGCTTCAAACACCACTGATAATCCTGATACAGAAGTCAGCATCTGCCACACATTCTCCCTATCAGCAGTGACCCAAGTGTTCAGTCCCAGCCAGTACCTCACTTCACTTATATTGAGTTTCCTTTAATGGGCCACTGTTGCTCTTTTCTCCCAATACTTGTGAGTCTGAGACACCCTAGTTTATCAAACATGTTCTAAATGGCACTGAAGCTCAAAGAGAAATGGTCTGGATGCCACTTCCCTTCTGCACAAATGGCTCTTTTATATCTCTATAAATTTGCAAAAGAAAAATAGATACTTCTAGAAGCAGGAGCAACCTCACTTATCAGACCATTGATAAGACAAACATAGTTACAACCATCCCCTGAACCATGCGTTGGGCACTTGCCTTATACCTGTTATCATGAGAGGGACTGTCCAAGTGGTTCATGCCAGAGAAAAAGAGAGTTTTTCCAATGTAAATGAACTTAACCTCTAAGGATTTAATACTTCTAGTAATTTCAAAATGATTTTAAAAAATTAAACTTCTTCTTTGCTCCTTAAATTTCCCTGTACCTCACACTGTAAATGAGTGCACAAGAAAGATTAAAAAAAAGATGGCACTAAAATTTTAGCTGTTATTTGGGAATGATGAAAATAGGAGTGATTTTTAAATTATTATTTTTACAAAGTAACATTTATTAATTTTGTAATTAGAAGGAAGAAAGATAATATTTATTTCACAAATATGCTCCAACTTGAAAATGCTTTGAAGATGAGGGGTGAGGTCAGCAGCCTGCTGTGTCAGTAAGGTACTTTAGCCTTGGGTCCTGTACACACTTACAACAGCAGGAAAATCTGGTGCTTTGGGAAGAGGTGTCCACAGGGGCTAAGGCACAAAATAAGAGGGCTGCATATGGACTGTGTGAAGTAATAAATTCCTGAAGGCCTGCTTATTCTATGTATTTAAAATTTAAAATTACCCATTCCAAGCATGGAAAAGACAGTTTAGGGTCTTTATAACCAAAGAGGATAAGAATGATCTGTTCTCCTTAATGGAACCCCAGAGACTAGAATTTAACTATTTCCTGGCTCCATTCCACTTCTACCACCCCAATTTGAGTCTAGAACTCAAAGTACAATTCATCCTAGATTCTATGCACATGTACAAATCATCACATTTGTTTTATCTAGAAGTGTAATGGTAACTTAGTGTTGCAAGAAAAGCCCTATGTCTATTCAGAAAATGTTATTTATATTCTAATGGTACCAACCCCTCCCTTGACTTGGCTCTGTAACCATTCTGGTAAAAAGGAAGAATTATGGTAAATAGGAGGGATTACAGGTTGAAGATGGACAATCACTCAAAACTTGAAAAGAAAAAGTCACTCCACTGCCTAAAGCACTTCAATGATTGCCCATTGCATTCAGAATAAAATTCAAGTTGCTTATCCTGACCTATGAAGCCCTAAACCCTTCCATTCCTCTGCCTTTCACAGTTTATCTTATGCCAGTCTCTCTCTGTGCCATCCTCATGGACATGAATAGTCTTCTTTGGTCTGAAGATTATTCTTGGTTGCTTTATATACTGCTTAATAATAAGAAGAAATTTGCCCCCTTTGAATTCCAAATAAGATAAAAGAAGTGGCTGGATGTTATCACAAGTACAACATTTCTGTTTGGGAAGTATGGAATACTTCTCAGCCATAAAAAGGAATGAAATTATACTTTTTGCAGCAATATGGATGGAACTGGAGGCCATTATCTTAAGTGATATAACTCAGAAACAGAAATTCAAAGACTGCATGTTCTCACTTATAAGTGAGAGATAAGTAATATGTACCCATGGACATGAAAAGTGGAATAGACATTGAAGACTCATTGGAGATTTTGGAGACTCCAGTAGATACTGGAAGGGTGAGAGGGAATTGAGGGATGAGAAATTACCTGAAAGGTACACTGTACACTATTTGGGTGATGGGTACACTAAACGCTGAGGTTTCACCAGCACACAATATATCCATGTAACAAAACTGCACTTGTACCCCCGAGTCTATTTTTAAAAGTGATTAAAATCTGTATGTTCTCCCCAACCAGCATTTGCCAGAACACTGGTCCCCATGGGCCTGCAGGGACTTGACCAACTATTAGGGCAAAGGCCTGCTACTTATCTACTTCCATGGTGAAGAAAACCACAACAGCTTTGGTGACCAAGAATGTGGAATCCTTTGAGGAACCTCTGCTAGGGTCCAACCTGCAGACCCTGACCCAGCGATGGATGAATGAAGTACACTGACACACAGATATTCTGCTTTGCCAGTCCAGCTGAGTGTCTGAGCCACCTACAGACTCCCTGGAGAGTACTGCAAACAGTTGCAACTCCTCGATCAGTCAGTGAGACTTGCATTTATTTAGTAAAGATTAATTGACAAAGGTCATAGGAAAACACCATTAGAGGGTAACTGACATTGTGGACTTCCTGAGTAGAAAGCAATTAAGCACCCAGGGTACATCAAAGGTTAGTCTTAGGAAAACAAGTTAGTTAGATAAACTACTCTACATTATTTTGTATTTGTGCCTTAAGCTCTCTAGCTCCTGCAAAGAGACTCTGGCTGCCTTCAGCCAGACAATCAGAAGCTATGCAAACTCTCAGGCTTTCCAAGAGAGTTTGTGGCTATTACTATAACTATCATTAATATTTTTCCAATTGGCCTGATTGAACCCCCACAAACCTCAACTTCAGCAGAGAGCTGGAAGCAGGGTAAGGAACTGCAGTTGCCTTTGCAATTCATTGAGAATAAAGAGAAACTAAAGGGACTTCAAACTCATTTGAATAACCTTAGTCTCTTTGTGTCGTAGAATATTCTTAAAATACTTTCAAGGTAAATCATGATATGACTCACAGAGGGAAAAGATCTGTCATTTTGGAGACCTTAAAATACTTGATTTTTAAAAATGTGTGCATTTTACTTACCCTTGTGATATAAAGTGCTAAGATTTCACAGGGGTTGTGTAAAAATGTGCATTTTATATTCAGAGAAAAGGCTGCAAGCACAGAGATGTCACTTCAGGGATTCAGTTTCTAGTTGTTATCTTATTGTCAATCCTTTCAGCTTGGTCATCTCCATATCCCCACACACCAGCTCATTAAAGTAAGATATTTGCTATGTTTTATGTATAATATAGAGAAAAGCAGACATCACTTTCCACAACTCATATGTTTCTGAAGTGATATGTACTCTTTGTAAGACTCAGAAATCATCCCTCTCTGCTTACCTAATCAAAAAGTAGAAAATCAAATATTTCTGGTATGATGCTGCTTTTCACCATTTTAAATGTGACTAGAAAAGGCTTGCATGCACCTTACTGTAGAAATAAAGGTAGACTACCCACATGAGAACAGGTGATTAATTCAAAGTTTGTGAGTGGGAAAGCTTTAGAGTGAGCAAAAAACGGGAGGGAAAGCGTGGGGGAAGGCTTCAAGTATGCTCTGATTGCATGTAGTTGGCAAGGGGAAGTTGGAAGTAGGTTAACTAGAAGCAGAGTATCTTATGTGGTTGGTTTGGGGAACATATTTTGCTTTATTTGGTTGGTTCTAAGTTGGAAACAAGGCAAAATAGGGAAGCTAACAGTCATTAATGATATCCTGACCACTTGGGACCAATTACTGCCAATGATGCGGTTTGGCTTCCTGGACTGGTGGCTTCAGAGATTGTGAATCAGAATTCTATTGTCATATCATCTGACCACTACTCATTTGAATATTTATCCTCTCAGCCCCCCATTATGGTCATTCTCTTACTTACGAGAGATTGACCAATTCAGGGGCAGCTAGAAACCCACATCTTCACCACTATGATATTGCCGAGTGGTCTCCATTGCAAACTATATTGTGAGGTCTTGACTTTTTGTTGTTGTGTCAGCACTGAGAGGTGAGGCCAGTTGGACTTCCTGGGTCCAGTGGGGACTTGGGGAACTTCCCTGTCTTACAAGAGGATTGTATAAAGCACCAATCAGCACTCTGTAAAATGCACCAGTCAGCAGATTCTAAAAGTAGCCAATTGCCTGGAGGATTGAAAAAAGGGCATTCTGATAGGACAGGAACAGAATATGGGAGGGGCCAATAAGGGAATAAAAGCTGGCCACCCCAGCCAGCAGTGGCAACCTGCTCCCCTTTCCATGCTGTGGAAGCTTTCCTCTTCACAATAAAGCTTGCTAGTGCTCAGTTTGGGTCTGTGCCATCTTTAAGAGCTGTAACAGTCACAGCGAAGGTCTGTGGCTTTATTCTTGAAGTCAGCGAGATCATGAACCCACCAGTAGGAACCAACTCCGGACACAGTATGGCAATGATCTCTGGTGAGAACAGCTGCCCAGTAGAATGTAAGACTTGGCAGAGGATGTGATGGACCTGCATCATGGCAGGTATGACCAAAGTGTTGCACGCTTTGTAGTTCCATGTGCAGGGTGGAATGGCGCCCAGCGGCTTTTTCTCCCCTGTTGCTTGGTGAGTGAGAGGGAGGTTACAGTGTTACAGAATTCCTTCAGTGCCGCTTCACCAGCTGGAAATCTCTGTGGCTGCACTGACTTCTGTTCCGGCCCTTGCTCAGGCCTGCCGGGTTGCTCTGCCCACTTGGCCCAGCAGGCTGCGCTTGGCTCACATTACTGGCCCAGATCCTGTGGTCAGTGTGGCTGTGTGCTCAGCTCATAGCTGGACTGGGCATGCTGCAATTGGCTTCCATATTGGGCGCTGGTATCGAGATGAAGGGGAGGTGGTGGCGCCAGAATACTTGGAGATGACAGCAACTGCAAAGCCCCAAAGGGTGTTACAGCTTTTGCTTGGGGAGTCCTGAGGTCTGAGCCCCCTGGAAATGTTACAGTTCTCTCTGGTTCCTGCTGCCTGCAGCCCAGTGAACAGGGGTGCCTTACATCTCCTTTGTTACTGTCACCCGCAGCTTGGGGATTTCCCACAACCAACAAGAATAAGGTGTGTGGACAGCAGAGAGTGAGAAAGGCAGAGAAGAATTTTATTGAGCGGCAGAAAAGCTCTCAACACAAGAGGGGACCTGAAGTGGGTAGACTTCTGTGTGAAAGGGGGCCTGAAAGCCGGCAGCCATCTGTGTGGCTGAGTATAGGATTTTTAAGGGCTCAGAATGGGGGAGTGCATGCTGATTGGGCCGGGGGAGGTCTTGGAAAAAGCACCATTTATTGGTTAAAAGGCATAGAGGATGTTCTCACTCCGGTTGTGGACTCTACCTAGAACTGGCAGTTGGGTTTTCAGGGGTCAGGCTGTCTTTGGCTTAAAGGTCGGGTTTCAAAAACAAAAATAATCACTAGTCCCTATAAAATGTTACAGAAGCAGAAATTCTAATTTTCCAACCCAGACCAAGAGAACATATAGGCCACAGACCTTGAAGATCTGCCTTAGAATGGCAATTATCTTTTTTCCATAAGGAAATGTGAGATGTAGAGCCTGTTTTACTTTGCCTGTTTCGTTGATTCAAATATAGTGAGAAGTATTAGCAATAACACAGAGCTACCATGAGTAGCCAACAAGAAATCTAGAGAAATGTGGTTATTATTACTTGTACCAATGAATTGAGGCTGATTTATATTTCGTATAGGGAAGAGACAATGTCATTAACTTCTGCCAGAGTTATTGGTGATAAAACTATTGATGATGGTTTTCTTACAGTTTTTTTCTATTTGTACAATTCTCACTCTGATTATTCACACAGTGAGTCAGTAACTCCCCCAGGTAGACTGCCTGAATAATCAAGGGTGGCCACATTTGGAAGCTCCAGTCTGAGGTGGAATTTCCAGACTTCCGTTTGGAAACTGGGGTTGACCCACTGATATTTTATAATGGCCTATCTGAATCCTTAGAAACTTCTCCTTTGAAGATTTACAGAAGACAATAACTTTAGGCCGGGCTCGGTGGCTCACGCTTGTAATCCCAGCACTTTGGGAGGCTGAGGCAGGCGGATCACGAGGTCAGGAGATGGAGACCATCCTGGCTAACACAGTGAAACCCCATCTCTACTAAAAAAAAAAAAAAAAAAAAAAAAAAGGCCAGGCGTGGCGGCGGGCGCATGTAGTCCCAGCTACTCAGGAGGCTGAGGCAGGAGAATGGCGTGAACCCAGGAGGCGGAACTTGTAGTGAGCTGATATGGCGCCACTGCACTCCAGCCTGGGCGACAGAGCAAGAATCCATCTCAAAAAACAAAAACCAACCAACCAAACAAACAAAAACATTAACTTTAGTTAAGGCTTTTTTTTTGGCATAAAGTTCTGTTAGAATTTTTTCTTTAGTTTTTCTATTACCTTCTTTCTTTGTATGGGCCTCAACCTTAAAATAGCCAACTCTAGAAAGTAGAGTGCCTTAACTTATTCATTTTCATGGGGATTCCAGCAGAGATGATGAATTTCTTTTTTTCCCCAAAGCATCCCAAATTCATGTAGTACTCTAAAAGCATACCTGCTCTATGTTTACTACATGGTCTTCAGCTAATTGACAAGCTCTAGTAAGTGTAATAAATTCCATTATATGGGTTGATTTTACCTCAGATAGAAAATATATTCTAAAGTAGAGCTTAAATTAGTGATAATTTTCAATATCAGTTTTGAGGTATGATCCATCAATGAATAACATTGAATCAGAGTTCACAATGAAAGTCAGTCTCTCATCAATCTGAGTGAGGTACAGAAACTCCCCTAACTGACTTATAACCATCATGAGGTTCCCTTCTTCTGGCAGGGGGAGAAGAGTGGCAGTTTAAGGAATTGCATCAGTGAATAGTAAAGCGAGAGAGAGGGAGTAAAACTCTCATAAGAAGTTGATCAGCTGGTTGGAAAGTATTGCATGCTCTTTGTCAGTGGTTATGTCTACACTGGCCAGGGAATCATGATGTGAGGTGGGGAGCCTAGAAATAGTTTAAAAGAAGCATCAACAAATGTTGCAGTGGAAGCTGTTGCCTTAAGACAAGGGCTATAAGCCTTTGCAGCTGGGTCAAGGGTAAGGCTATGGAAAATGATGAATTTTTGATGGTTTCCATGACATTGAGTTAAAAACAAAAAAGCTTGTACAAGTTGTCCACGCACAATTAGACAAAATGGCATATTGTAGTCAGGGGTGCCTAATTATGAAAGGGAGTGCCTAACCACCAAAGGAAGAGGCTACTGGAGAGCCTTCTTGAGTTACAGAATTTATATTTGGGCCCCCACAAAAGACAGTTTCTTACTAAGGACTCGGCCAATTCATAAAAAGAGATTGCAAGCTCAGAAAAATTTCACAGCCATTGTCTACAATATCCAGTTAAATCTAGAAATCCTCTCAATTGTCATTTTGCGAGGCATCGAGGTGAAGTTTCGATAGTGTTCTGCCTACCAATAGAGACAAAATAATTTCACCCTCTTAAGATAACTTATGCCCTAAATACTAGCCTGTCTTTTGACAAAATTATAATTTATCTTTTGAAACATTATGTTCTTTTTCTGCTATGGCTGAGAGCAAGTATTTACTTGCTCTCACCTTCTCACCAGCTTCCTCGTTCTCTGAAGAAAGCAGTGGAGATCATCTGATCCTGCATATATTGCATCAAAACCGAATCACAAGTGAAATTTAGATCTTTAAGTCTTGATTGAGGACTTGTGGAAAGTAAGAGGGGGCTTTAGTGAGCCCCTGGGGTATGACTATCCGGGTATATTTGTTGTCCTCTCCAGATGAAGGCAAAGTCGTTGCCTGTTCTGGTTTGGAAGCACACTGAAAAATGCACAGTAAAGATTCAATATGGTGAAGCAAGTGGTTTTGGGCAGAATTGATGACAGGATAGGTACTACTAGGAAGCAAAGCAAAACAATTTTGTTGATCTTTCCTGAGGTCATGAAAAAAGTGTACCAGCAGAACAAGTGTGATGTATGGGCTATTGCAGCGTATGAGAAAGTCTTTGGTTATAAGGTCGTCAACTACAGTTTTGAAGCCTTCCTTTGCTTCTGGTTTTTCAAGGAATATCAGGGAAGTTTGACCATGGTTTACTAGGATACTTCTGAACTTGACTAGGTTCTGCTCCAGTAATTTCCCATATAAATGGATTTTTTTAGTTTGTAGAGTGTTAGGTAGAGTGTTGAGGTCTTTATCTGGAGCGTATGTCAAATATAATGAAGGAGACAAACGTATATCCAGAGACGACATATAGAGGAACCCTCAGGAGACTCTGCTGTGCGTTTATTGTTTTTCTGAGACAGAGTGTTGCTCTGTTACCCGGGCTGGAGTGCAGAGGTGTGATCTTGGCTCACTGCAACCTCTGCATCCCGGGTTCAGGTGATCCTCCCATTTTAGCCTCCCAAGTAGCTGGGATTACAAGCATGTGCCACCACACCAGCTAATTTTCATATTTCTTTCTTTTTTTTTTTTTTTTTTAGTAGAGGCAGGGTTTCACCGTGTTATCCAGGCTGGTCTTGAACTCCTGTACTCAAGTGGTCCACCCACCTCAGCCTCCCAAAGTGCTAGGATTACAGGCGTGAGCCACCATGCCCAGCTGGTGCACTTACTATTATAATTCTATTTGAAAATTAAGTTACTCCCCATTAAATTTGCAAGAGTGTTATAATAGAGCAGGGAGAAATGTTTTTAAGTCAAGTACCCAAAGGTTGTAGTTACAGTAGGAGATAGAAGGAATCTGTGGGTTATTTGAGATACCTGCTACTTGCTTCCTATGAGGAAAATGTTGAGCAAAATTGCCAGGGTTTAATGTAGAAAGAGTTAGTGCCTGGCTGGGCATGGTGGCTCACACCTGTAATCCCAGCACTTTGGGGGGCCAAGGCAGGCAGATCACCTGAGGTCAGGAGTTCTAGAGCAGCCTGACCAACATGGCAAAACCCCATCTCTACTAAAAATACAAAAAAAAAAAAAAAAGCAGGGTATCATGATGCATGCCTGTAGTCCCAGTTACTCAGGAGGCTGAGGCAGGAGAATCACTTGAACCCAGGAAGCGGTTGCAGTGAACCGAGATTGTGCCAATGCACTGCAGCCTCAGTGACAGAGTAAGACTCTGTCTCAAAACAAAAAAAGAAAGAAAGAAAAGAAAGAGTAGCGCCCATATTGCCAGGAATTGCTGAGGTTGGCCACCTATATTTATGGTTAATTCACCTTGAATGTTAAATTTTAAATCAGGATATTGGGTACCTTCATTGATCTAAATTAAGGGGTCTTTTGGTCTTATTTTTACTGGAAAATCATTTTTCAGGTGTCCCTTCTGTTTTCAATATCTGCAGGTGTCCTCTTCTATGGGTCGTCCACTCAACTGTTTGATCTGCAGGGCCGTAAGGTTATTCTGGATCCTGTCTTGTTATTGTCCTAGGGCTCTGCAAAAATGTCAGCCAGGTGTTGAAGTTCAGGTAAAGTGGCTATTTCCCATTCTAATTTTGATCTAATTATTGTCTCCAATTTCAGGTTTAATTCCATTAACAAAGTAGGTAAAAGAGCCATTATTACACTTACACTTCTTTAACACTCAAATGTTGTTGAAAGGGGTTTTCTAGTTTATTCTGAAAATCTCCTATAATTTCTTCTTTTCTTTATTTACATGATTAAATTGTGGTCCATTTTATTTTTACTAGAAATGTTTCAAGTAAGGCTTTTAGGATACATTGCCCTACTTTTTGAGCCTCTTTTTGGCCCTCAGGCTTATTGTGGAAAGAAAGATGCTGTAGATCTCTGTCCTGGTGAATCCAACTGGCTTTTGCCATCAGGATTTAATGTCTGAGGATCTACAAACATAAATACAAGTTGATATAGCTCAGGTAACCCTGAGTTGTGTACAACTAAAAGAATTTAGAATTCTGAACTCCTTTGGGAAATGCTTAGTCATAGCTTTTAATTCAGCTCGTGTTCAAGGTTTAAATTCTACTGCTGCTTGCGTATTTGGGTCATTGAAGAGATAGAACTTTAGAGGTAAATGACATTCCGGGATCTTAGGAGAGTCACTGGGAGAAGGTAGGGGGTCTGGAAGAAGAGGGAGGAGTCAATGAGGTGTGAAAGGAGGATGGGGGAATGAGGAAGAGTTGCAGAGCTGAAGTCAACTGGAGGAGAAGCCGGGGGAAGATTTGCTGGGCAAATGAGTTAGTTTGTTGTTAAGTTTGTCATACTGTTCATTAGCTCTGGCCAAAAAATATTTTAGCGGAGTAATGTCTGAATCAGAATTTCATTTGAAAACTTGTGTACCAATCAAAAACTGCTGCCCATTGCCCCTGAGAAATATTCTCTCTTTTCTAAGGTGTTTTTCAAATGAACAATTTTGTTCAAGTCCAATGTTCTCCAGATTAGCCACTGAAGGCCTAAATTATCCTTGGTATAGAGATGGGTGCAAGTGCTAGGATCGTAGCAAGGGTACGTATAAGAAATGGGAGGTTTTTCTGGAGGAAAAAAAGGAAAAGAGGATTTACACTCAGAAAATTCCATGGGAGCTGGCAATGGTCAGTTGAAAGTAATATTTGTGCACTTTATGTCTTAGGCCCCCAACCTGATAGTTGGCAGCCTCCAAATGCAGACTTGACAACTTGTGCCCACAGGCAAATGGAAAACCAGAATATTCCCTCTGCATCAAATCCAACCTCTCAGGGCCACAAAAAAAAAAAAAAAAAAAAAAAAAAAAAAAAAAAAAAAAAGATGAAGAACCTTATCCCATTTTATTGGTGACTGACAGGAAAGTTTAGGAAAGTTTGTCCAGATGGATGCTGGTTTGGTAAGAATTGCAGCTCATCAGTTGTGGAGCAAGCTGAGACACTCTTAGAGGAGCAAAGCCTGTGTTCTGCACTGATTCTCCTTCTGATAACAGACAACACTTTAGACGTATCTCATAAAACAGAAGCACAAAAGAGAACAAAAAGGAATGAAAAGAAATGGCAGTATTTTTCCAAGGGTGCCAAACAAATGGGAATTGGTAGCAAAAGCTGAGTACCAAGCTGATAGTCAATAACCAAGGATCTCAATACAAAGAGAACAGAGTTGAAGCCCAACTCTGTTCTCTCACAGACACTGTGTCAACACAGACTTGACAGGCCTCAAGAAGCAAGGCACAAGAGGCCTCCATAGATAGCACACTTGATCAGGGTCCAAAGTCCATAGTGATGAGCAGTTAAGAATGTGTCTCAGTGGAGCTTCTAGGAAAATTACAGAAATACAGACCAGGCATGGTGGCTCATGCCTATAAACCCAGCACTTTGGGAGGCTGAGGCAGGTGGATCACCTGAGGTCAGGAGTTCGAGACCAGCCTGGCCAACATGGTGAAACCCTGTCTCTACAAAAAATACAAAAATTAGACAGGTGTGGTAGCACATGCCTGTAGTTTCAGCTACTTGGGAGGCTGAGGCAGGAGAATCTCTTGAATCTGGGAGGCAGAGATTGCAGTGAGCCCATATCGTGCTGCTGCACTCCAGTCTGGGCGACAGGGCAAGATTCAGTCTCAAAAAAATTAAAAAATTAAAAAAAAACAGAAAATTACAGAAATAAAGGAGACAACTTAATGAGAACAGAAGCTATTTATTTCTTGCTTGCTAGAGAAAGGGAGGCAGTCACTATCATTTATGTTTGACAGAGACTCAGGCTGGGAGAATGGGAAAGCTTTATAGTGAAAAGGGGCAAGGCTTTGGGGTAGGAGGCTATGGGCATGGAGAGGCGCAGGTAGGCTAAAGAGAAGCAAGGCATCTGATGGGATAGGTTTGGAGAGAGTATTTGGCTTTCTTTAATTAGTACTAAACTAGAAGCAGGGGCAATCTTAGAGAAGTTGGCAGTCATTGACCAACCTCTGATTGTTTTCGGCAAATTGCTACTGAATTTGTGGCTTGCATTCCTGAACTGGCTGCTGCAGAGATTGTGGTTTGCCTTCCCAAGCTGGTTGCTGCAGTGGTTGTGGGTCAGAGTTCCATTGTCGTACGTGGTTTGGCCACTGTCTGTTTTAATATTCAGTCTCTATTACTAAAAGGTATACAAATGGCTAGGCTTCTCACTTCAGTTCTTCATGTACAAGCTCCTTTTAGAGGTTTCTGCACTAAACTATTGTAAAAAAAAAAAAGAAAAAAAAAGGCCAACTCCATTTATCCAATGTCAACCTTGACGTTAAGAATGATGAATGTGGCAGCTGTTTCCTTCTGTTATTGATCTTTTTACTGACCCTTCCCATTGTGCTTTGTCAATGACTGAGTATCTTCCCTGGACCGCTCTTATCTGAAGTCGTCCTCATCTCTCAGAGATTTTCAGCACCATCTGTCAGCCAGGCACTGTGACTCTGTCGTCAGTGACCATTTTTATTGACTTTTGTCTCTTTCTGGCCTTTCCATGGTGCCTTGGCCTTAAATGTCCTACTAATTAGCTCAGTGGTGATTACAGTGCTGGTTTTGAGAGCACCCTGTTGTTTTTTTCTTATCTAGGAGAATTTTTTTTCTCTCTTTATCTGGAAATATTACTTTGCTGGCTATGCTGACTTAGGTCATTGACATCAGATCAGTGTTCTAAATCTGATCCTAGTAATCCCATCTACAATCTTCCCACACAAGCCAAGGGAAGAGACACACTTGATTAAAAACCTTGCACTCTCTTTCCTATTTGGCTATTTTTTCTCCTCTTGGAGAAAGAGTTTCCCCAAAATACTATATGAAGTGTTATTTTGTAAGCCTACTTAACTTAGTTTTATATACTGTGCACAAACTTTACATATAATTTGAATAGGCTCAGTTCTTTGTTACTTTTTTTTAGTTTTTCACTGAATTTTATATGACAGACTAAGCTAAATAATTTGTTATAGTTAGAAGACTGTTTTCTCATTTACATACCAAAATCTACCAAAATGAATTTATTACACTTAAGAATTTTTGTTAATTACCATTACCACTTCTGTAAAATAAAATAAATCTGTAAGAATTTTATGAGCAAAGCTTTTTCAAGTCTACTATTTAGTTTAGCAATTATTCTAAATATCAATCTCAAAATTAGAGTAAGGGATTTCCCCTTTTAGGAAAAGATATCAATAATTATATAGTAAAAATTTAAAATTAAGATACAGACATTTATTCCGTGTTGGATCCCAAATATCTCATTAGAGAATTATCTTCTCTCATTGTCTGCTATTTTCTAAAATACAGGAAGATATAAAGTATAAATCTGATTTTTTTTCTACCAGAAGTTAAAGAACATAGAATATATTTGGTATGATTAATTGGGAGTTTGTATTTCCTCTGCAATCTAGAAATATTATTATTTTAAATATCTGCAATATTATTTATTTTAAAAGTTTTTAGTTTGAAAAGACATTTCTGAAAGCCCCAAATCTGTGAGCATGTGCTACTACAAAATTTTTAATTGTAAGCAATTGAGAGAGAAAAGTCCTCGAATTTGGCCAAGCGCGGTGGCTCACGCCTGTAATCCCAGCACTTTGGGAGGCTGAGGTGAGCGGATCACGAGGTCAGGAGATCGAGACCATCCTGGCTAACAGGATGAAACTCCGTCTCTACTGAAAATACAAAAAATTGGCCAGGTGTGGTGGTGGGCACCTGTAGTCCCACTACTCAGGAGGCTGAGGCAGGAGAATGGCATGAGCCCGGTAGGCAGAGCTTGCAGTGAGCCGAGATCGCGCCACCGCACTCCAGCCTAGGTGACAGAGCGAGACTCCATCTCAAAAATGAATAAATAAATAAATAAATAAATAAAAGTCCTTGAATTTATGCAAATGACATAGCAATCACTTCAACTCTTAAATAATCTAACCATCATGAGATAAGAGAATGGATTTTTTTCTACTCGTTTGTATCTTGTCTTTTTGAAAGAGACTACTTGTTAATAATATGCTTCTGACAAAACAAAAACTAAGGAAAGTGTATGATACAGGCCTGAGTCTCTTTCCTCAAGTTCACGTTTTAAAAATAAAGCATAATCAGGGATAATGTAGCCTCTACTTGTAAAGGAAGGCTGGCTTTATGTATTAATGAAATAGGCAGCTTCTTACACAATGTGATTTCAACAGAGCCAGGAAGTATGTCTTATCTCTAAATAACTCCCTAAATAACTCCTTCTAACACCAATATCTGAAATGTTGTGACTGATTTCTTTCTGTCCTGCCCTGAAGTTCTTTCCTGACTGCAAAGAACAGCACATTTTGAATGTTTCAAACTGTCATACATGTTCTCTCCAGAAGAGTGGAGTGATGCCCCACCAGACATTCTAAGTCACAGGATAACGTGACATATTTCATGATTGTCAGTTTTACCATGTGGCAAGTAGTTAAAAAGACGAAGTTTACAGTTCCAAGAACACAAACTATGTTATGGAATAGGACGAAACACAAGGAGTAAAGTAGTCCCTTGTTTTTGCTTTAGGTTACTCACCTTGCTATCCGTAATTGTATTCACTGAAGTATTGAGGAACACATTAACGTTGGTTTCAGATTTGTTGACTTTAAGTTCTACATCTGAAGTATGTTGGCACTTTGACCTTGCATAATTCAAAGTCATGTCTCTGCACCACTGTTTCATTCTATATAAAGTGATTGACAATAATAGTTTTCCCACCAAAGTTGGACTTCCATTTCTGTCAATTGGCCAAACTGGGTTTCCTAAAAAGCCTTGTAGCTCTACAAAATATCAGGAAATTATATCAAGTCTACTTTTAAGTAAATGTGAAGCTCTCAAGGAAGCCCTGATGGCAATCCAGAAATAGATAAAAGCAGTACAGGAGCTAGAGTTGCCTGGGGAACAGAAACTGACCTGGGTTACCCAGAGTTTGGGGTATTAACAACTACTCAGGGGAAAGTAAAAGTAGGCCTTGGACACATAAAATGTTGGGAAGGCTGAGCCAGACTTCTTGCATATAGCCGAGTCACAATAGGCTAAGAACATGAATTTAGGAAGGAAAGCAAAAAAATCTACAAGCAGTATGAAAAAAAAAATCTCCAACACCTTGATACATTTTAATGAATCATCAGATGACAAAGAAAAATACAAATTCTTGAAAGTGCCAGAGACAAATCAGAGATTCCTAGAGTGAAAAGAATGTCCACTTTTTAATGGGGTTGTTTGTTTTTTTATTGTAAATTTGTTTAAGTTCCCTGTAGATGCTGGATATTAGACCTTTGTCAGATGGATAGATTGCAAAATTTTTCTCCCATTCTGTAGCTTGTCTGTTCACTCTGATGACAGTTTCTTTTGCTGTACAGAAGCTCTTTAGTTTAATTAGATCCCATTTGTCAATTTTTGCTTTTGTTGCAATTGCTTTTGGCATTTCATCATGAAATATTTGCCCATACCTGTGTCCTGAATGGTATTGACTAGGTTTTCTTTTAGGATTTTTATAATTTTGGGTTATACATTTAAGTCTTTAACCCATCTTGTGTTGATTTTTCTATATGGTCCATTTTCTGCATATGGCTAGCCAGAGTTCTCCCAACACCATTTATTAAATAGGGAATCCTTTCCCCATTGCTTGTTTTTGTCAGGTTTGTTGAAGATTAGATGGCTATAAGTCTGTGGTCTTAGTTCTGGGTTATCGTTTCTGTTCCCTTGGTCTATGTGTCTGTTCTTGTACCAGTACCATGCTGTTTTGGTTACTGTAGCCTTATAGTATAGTTTGAAGTCAGGTAGTGTGATGCCTCCAGCTTTGTGTTTTTCGCTCAGGATTGTTGTGGCTATTTGGGCTTTTTTTTTTTTTTTTTGGTTCTATGTGAATTTTAAAATAGTTTTTTTTAATTCTGTGAAGAATATCAATGATAGTTTAATGGGAATAACATTGAATCTATAAATTGTTTTAGACAGTATGGCCATTTTCATGATATTGTTTTTTTCTTATCCATGGGCATGAAATGTTTTTTCATTTTTTGGTGTCATCTCTGATTTCTTTGAGCAATGTTTTGTAGTTCTCTTTGTAGAGGTCTTTCAGCTCCCTGATTAGCTGTATTCCTAGGTATTTTATTCTTTTGTGGCAATTGTGAATGGGAGTTCATTCGTGATTTGGCTCTTGGCTTGCCTGTTGTTGGTGTATAGGAATGCTAGTAATTTTTGCACATCGATTTTGTATCCTGAGACTTCGCTGAAGTTGCTTGTCAGCTTAAGAAGCTTTTGGGCTGAGATGATGGCATTTTCTAGATATAGGATTATGTCATCTGCAAACAGAAATAGTTTCCCAAGAAGGGAGTTAAAACAGGAACATCTCACAGCCATTACAGAAATTGAAGCAGTATTTATGTATCTCAATTAAAACCAAACCACCATAAACGTATTTCTTTGAAAAATATCTTTTTTTTTTTTTTTGAGATGGAGTCTGGCTCTGTCGCCCAGGCTGGAGTGTAGTGGCGCCTTCTTGGCTTACTGCAAGCTCCGCCTCCTGGGTTCATGCCATTCTCCTGCCTCAGCCTCCCGAGTAGCTGGGACTACAGGCGCCCACCACCATGCCCGGCTAATTTTTTGTATTTTTAGTAGAGCCAGGGTTTCACCGTATTAGCCAGGATGGTCTCAATCTCCTGACCTCGTGATCCGCCCACCTTGGCCTCCTGAAGTGCTGGGATTACAGGCGTGAGCCACTGTGCCTGGCCGAAAAATATCATTTTTAATGCCTGCTAAAATATTCCACTATATGGATATACCAAAACTTACTACGTGACTTAGTAATTAAATGTATTTATATTCTGTCTTGAGTTTGCCTCCCATGTTTCAAATATACTAGTCTTCTCAGTTACATTGTCAAGGCCATTATTTATATTTTGATGGTATTCTCAGCACCAGCTGTTGTGATCATTGAAATGTATTCTTGACCTTAGATGCTCACTGCACACTTGACAGATTGGGAACTGAGTAGAGGTGCTTGTTAGTATCTGCATCTCAGTGGCTGGGGACAGCTGGACTCAGCTTGTGTGACTCATGCAAAGTCAGATGATCAGTCATAGAGGGAACTTGGAACTTAAAAGTGTAAACTGAAACTTACGCTTTTAAAAATTATTCTATCTCACATAGTGAGAAATCTTTATGACTCTTTAGTCTACAAAAGGGATCAGTGAACAGTTTCTGTAAGGTGACAGATGATATGGTATAGAGTAGTTCCCCCATCCATGGTTTCACTTTCTGTGGTTTCAGTTAAATGTGGTCAACTGTGGTCTGAAAATATTAAATGGAAAATTCTAGAAATAAATAATATATAAGTTTAGATTATATGCTGTTTTGAGTAGTGTCCCTCCTAGAACATGAATCACCACTTTGTCTAGCATATCCATGCCTTATACGCTACCTGCCCGTTAGTCACTTAGTAGCCTTCTGAGTTATCAGATTGACTGTTGAGGTATCACAGTGCTGTGTTTAAGGAGCCCTCATTTTACTTAATAATGGCACCAAAGCACAAGAATAGTGATGCTGGCTTATTGTTAGAATTGTTCTATGTTATTAGTAGCTATTGTTGTTAATCTCTTACCGTGCCTAATTTATAAACTTTATTATAAATATATATGTAAAGGAAACACAATATGTATGGTGTCCTGTACTACTGAAGATTTCAGGTGTCCACTGAGGATCTTGGAAGGAATCCCCTGTGGATAAGGGTGCACCACTGTAAATATGTTCAGCTTTGAGGGCAACATAGTCTCTGTCACAACTGCTCTACCTGCAACAGCGCCAGACAAATCTGGCTAAACTTTAATCCAACAAAGTTATGAGTTGGTCTGAGCCCTCAGGCTGAAGGTCATGTAAACTGAGCATGCCCAGATGAACCAAGTATGCAACCACAAGGGGAACAGAAGTGCCCAGACCAAGGAGAAGACCAAAGAGCAGGGACTGAATTAAGAAGCAGACGCAGTATGGAAGGATCCAGGATCCAATCAAATTGAGCTCTGGCATCAGCCCATTGTGGAATCGAATCAGATCATGCCTCCTGGCATCATCTCATTGCAGAATTCAATCAGATCACACCTCATTACCCTATGCTTATAAAACCCGACCCAAACGTCAGCTGGGGGTGATATATTGGAGCACTTCCTCCTGTCTCCTTGCCAGTCCACTTGCAATGAAGCTTTTTTTTCCTCAAAAGCCAGTGCCATGGTCTTGGCCTCCATGTACATTAGGCAGCAAGCCCATTGTTTGCTCAGTAACACCCTACCTTTGCATCCCTTTGTATCGTGAAAACAGCCACAGAGACAATGTAAATGACTTTTATCTCATTTAAATGAATTGTCAACCTCAGCTAAATTACTACTTATCATATAAACAGAAAATGTAAATAAACTGATTATTTCTTTCCATCCATGTTTTTACTGTCTTCATGTATAGCATGTGTAGGATTTTGAAGTTAACTGTTTCTGAAAACTTACTTGCAAATTTTTCAACACTGCAAAAATTGCTTAAAATAATGAAGCCAAGAAAATTAAGCCAGGTTAAAAACATAAAAGAAGAAAAGGAAGGAGGGCAGGCAGGTAGGCATTTGTTAAAAGCTTCTTTCCCTCAGCATACTATTATTTGCGATTCAGCTGTCTTGTTGTGTTTATCAGTAAGTTGATTCTTGGCCAGGCACAGTGGCTTCACGCCTGTAATCCCAGCTCTTTGGGAGGCCCAGGCACGTGGATCACTTGAGGTCAGCAGTTTGAGACCATCCTGGCCAACATGGTGAAACCCTGTCTCTACTAAAAATACAAAAATTAGCCGGGTGTGGTGGCGGGCACCTGTAATCCCAGCTACTCCGGAGGCTGAGGCAGGAGAATCGCTTGAACCCGGAGGTGGAGCTTGCAGTGAGCCGAGATCTCACCACTTGCACTTCAGCTTGGGCAACAGAGTGAGACTCCTTCAAAAAAAAAACAAAAAAAAAGTTGATTCTTTTTATTGTGAGTACTGTTCCATTGTATACCATTTGTTAGCCCATTTTCTTATTGATGGACAGCTGGGATGTTTAGATGTTAGAAATAAAGATGCCTTGAACTATCATAAGTTTTCATGTGAACCTATGTTTTTTAGTTCTCGTGGGATTAGAACTGCTGGGACAGAGGATCAGTGAAACCTTAATTTTTTTTTTTTCTTTTTGAGATGGAGTCTCTGTCACCCAGGCTGGAGTGCAGTGGCGCGATCTCGGCTCACTGCAAGCTCCGCCTCCCGGGTTCACGCCATTCTCCTGCCTCAGCCTCCCAAGTAGCTGGAACTACAGGCGCCCGCAACCACACCCAGCTAATTTTTTGTATTTTTAGTAGAGATGGGGTTTCACTGTGTTAGCCAGGAATGTCTCGATCTCCTGACCTCGTGATCCACCCACCTCGGCCTCCCAAAGTGCTGGGATTACAGGCATGAGCCACCACCCCCGGCCGAAACCTTAATTTTATGAAATGTTTTTTATGTTCCAGACCTTAACTGATGAGCTTTTAAAACTAACTTCTAAATTTGAAATGTATATTTAATTATGGAATATGCTTTAATGTAATCTTTTGGGATAATCACCTAATATTTTGCCTTGAGATTTTTAATATAAATAACAATAAAATAAATAACTAATAGTAAATGAATACCTTCTCAATCTTCCTAACCTTGGAATGTGGGGACAGGATGTGAAAATATCTTAGAGTTTTGAGATCTTTACACGGTTCCCTCAAGGCTTTTAAAAAGAGTATTTAATTGCTGGTAGTGGTAGCTGACGCCTGTAATCCCAGCATTTTGGGAGGCCGAGGCGGGTGGATCACCTGAGGTCAGAAGTTCAAGACCAGCCTGGTCAACATGGTGAAACCCTGTCTCTACTAAATATACAAAAATTAGCCAGGCGTGGTGGCAGGCGCCTGCAATCCCAGCTACTCAGGAGGCTGAGGCAGAATTGCTTGAACCCGGGAGGCACAGGTTGCAGTGAGCTGAGATTGTGCCATTGTGCTCCAGCCTGGGCAACAAGAGCGAAATTTCATTCCAAAAAAAGAGTATTTAATTGTGTTGATTTTAATGATTACTGAAATTTTGGCTGTTTTTTTGAAACTATTTCTTGTTTCCTTTCTCTTTCCCTTGTAAATAAGCTGTAAGAGAAAACTGCTTAATCACAAAACGTAACATAAGGCTTTCATGTCAGTGTCCAATAGGAATGAATTTTTTATGGTGACAAGGTAGGGTTATAATCCAGATCTCTGGTAGGCACATCCATAAGGTGCAAGGTGTATAGAAAATAGCATCAGTTTTTTTGGCTGGGTGCAGTGGCTCACGCCTGTAATCCTAGGATTTGGGGAGGCTGAGGACTGTGGATCACCTGAGGTGAAGAGTTTGAGACCAGCAGATATGGTGTTCTTGTTCTCAAAGCCGAGGTGGGTGGATCACCTGAGGTCAGGAGTTCAAGACCAGCTTGGCCAACATGGCAAAACCCCGTCTCTACTAAAAATACAAAAATTAGCCAGGCGTGGTGGCAGGTGCCTGTAGTCCCAGTTACTCAGGAGGCTGAGGCAGGAGAATGGCGTGAACCTGGGAGGCGGAGCTTGCAGTGAGCCGACTGCACTTCAGCCTGGGCACAGAGTAAGATTCCATCTCAAAAAAAAAGAAAAAAAAGAGTCTAGGATCCAGAGAAGTAAACTGTATTAATGATGTGGTCATATGCATGCCAGAGCTTATTTGGAAATGCACAGAATTGATTCCAAGATGTTTTAATAATGCAATCTGGGGTTTGCATCTCAAAGTAATGATCCATCAAGGATGGTCTTTAGAGCTATTTTCTAACTCACATGCTTAGTGGAGACTCACATCAAAATGCCCTGTTAATAGCAATCAGTAGCTGGTAAACTGAAGCCTGATTCAATTTGTGTCATTTCCCTGCAAATTTGTACTCCATTTCTGTGCTATCACCTGAAGACCACCCACCCAAAGCTATTAGTATACAATATGATGTGTAAGAGAGCTCCATGACTTCTCTGTGGAATAAATTATTTCACCGTATTTTTAAAACTATTTTTCATGTTTATACTCAGAGTAAATGAGCAATGTTACAACTATTCTTCTCTGTAAATTGTCACACCTTAAGTTCCTTAGGATGGCTCAACTCTTTCACTCTTCCAGCATGGGAAATAATTGTTTAATAAAAATAAAACATAACAATGGATTCATGATCCAAAGAAGACAAAATAGAAGATTTTTTGTTTTCTATTTCTCTTGACTCCTCAGCTAATTGTACCACCACTAAACCTTTCTTTATCTCCCCCACCTCACAGGGTTAATCTCTAATGCTGCTCAACATTTTATATCTATGTGGAAACTACCATTTAACTAAATTTTGTTTGATGTGGAAAAAAAATCATTCTTTCAATATTTGATAATTTTGGATAGCTAAGCACTTTTGTTAGATTTTTATGTTCTTCAAGAGAAATAAAATAGAGGCAGTGGAAAGGATTACTTAGTCCCCAGGGGTTGAATACTCACCCGAGGACTCAGTGCATTTGATTCCTGATACTCATTTAAGACCCCTTTTCATGCTTACTTACTAGGACTTCTTAAATTTGTCTTCTTCCAGGTGAAATAATTCAAAACAACTCAAGAATGGAACTACTGATTCATTAATAAAGAACAGAAAATAAACAAGGGCAAAACTTGAGAACATAAATACACAAAAACACAAAGACTCACTTAATTTTTATCTCAGATAAAAAAGGAAAGTAGTTTGCTGAATTTGCCTTTCTACTAAGAAGTCTTCGCTTTCACTTGGTTGGGAGGGTACTTAACATGAAGAAGCAGGAATTCCTGGAAAACAGGCCCCTTCTACCCTAACGTGTTTTCTGTGGGGTCGTTCAGTTATTGTCCCTAAGCAGAGGTAACTGGGAAATAGCCTTGGGCTGTAATTTTCCCATTTTACCTTAAGCAATATCATAACTAGCAACGTGTGACACCCAGGAGGTTTGTTTTCTAGATAACACTCTCTTTACGATATAAGGGCTCTTTGAGAGAGTTAATATAATAAATCCTCAGAGTAAAGTCTAGGATACTCTTTAGAAATTAAATATTACTTGAAACATATGAAAGCCATTCAGCAGGTGACAGAGCTATTTACAAATAGATTAAACATCTTTCAAGTAAATTATTATTTCATTAATGTTGTTAGTGTTTATGCACTAAAACATAGCCCAAAATAACATATTTTATCCTCATATTGTAACACAATTTATGTTACACTTGAACAAAAATCCCTCAGTGTGCAGCTGATTTTAAATCCATCATCAGTTCTACTAGTCAAAAGTGGAGAATCTTTTTGCATTTGTACCTCTGGTAGCCAAAGTAATGTATCTTCTCTCCATGTTTCTTTATCCATCCATTCATTAATGTGCTGTTTTCACATTGCTTCGTTTTGAAATTGTCCATGGCCCAGCTGAACCAAGCAGAAAGATTTCCCAGGCTAGTTGCATTGTATTTCACCTTCTGTTGTCATTTCCTTTGGTCTCGTAAGAATAAAATCCTTTGGTCTCATAAGAATAAAATGAGTTTTTTTTTCCTTCAAGCATGTAGAATATTTTTGGTTATTGTTCAAAAGTGAAGCCACAAATCAAAAAATGTTTTTCTTCTTTGTTTATTTGCTCCTCTAGCAATGTATATTTCATATATGTGAGTGCTTATGTCTAAATTTCAGGTCTACATTCAGCACAGCATCTTCATGGACAGCTAATGAGATTGCAGATGGTAAAGCAGAACATGTGTGGTCATGGGATGAAACTACTCCAAATATCTTATTAAACCCTGACACTCCCCTCTCTCACAGGCCTCCTTTGCATAAACATTTTATATTACATTTTTATAAAGACATAAATAAATTAATACCTCCACTGTAATTTTTCTTAAAATTTAGCATGATTATCTCCTTTGAAGAATAGAATGGTCCTTTAATCAACCAATTAAAATTGTATAACCCACCGGAAGAATTCATATATTATGTTTAATAATTAGTCACAAACCATATGTCTGGGACTATTTAATATTGACTTTAGCTCCATGTATATTATTTCCATCTACTTTTTTATTTTAGTAGGTTAACAGTATGAGTATGAATATATGAATTTCTAAATGCAAAGAGATGTACTTTATTAAGCTTTGGATTGTCAAGGAGAGCAATGGTTAAATATGACTAAGGTCCATTTATATTTAACTCTGCTATTTTTTTCTGGAATTGACAGTATAGGTGAATGCATGCTCATATTGTACTTTCTCCTTTGAAATAATGAAGAAGCCAGACAAAAGGATTATTGCTCGCAGAAGAGAATAGAAAAAAGCAAGAGAACCAGGGAAAGAAGGACCCAATCCACTTTCTCTAAAATTATTCTTGTTTGAGACAATGACTGATTTCATGAGTATCTTCTTACCTCTCTCTGTCTTTTTATGGCATATTTTAAGGTTGATTTTTGAACTGCCTTTATATATGTTTTCTAAGGTTTCAATGAAGGTAAATATGCCTTTGCAAACTATTTCTCAGGCTATGAACCATGAGTGTGTGGGTCAGTGAGTGGCAATGATGACATGCCACACTTGTGGAGAAATAAATGATGAAAGGTTAAATGCTTTTTGCCTTAGATCAGGAAGAAGAGGTTGTTCACTTGTTTAGAATGAACTCTCTGAGTTTCTTTATCTGCTCAGCTTGTAGCCATTGTTTCTGCAGCCACCAGAGACCCAGACAGAAGCGCAGCAGCAGGAGATCCACCTGCATGGGTCAGATTGCAGATGTGGCTTCAATGACATGACCACAGTGTGAAAGTTCCCTGGGGGGCACACAGCATGCTTAGAAAACACACACACACACAAGGAGGTCAATGCCTTTATTGGGTCCAGGGCATTATATAAACAGGGAGCTTTAAATTGATGGGCTTAAAGCAAGCAGGCACTAGTACTAGGAAGTCACATTGTGACTGAAAAGTGTCTAAATGGTCTGTTTAGAGGAAGCAGCAGGAAAGCTGGGAGCCCAGCCTGCTACGAGACAGAGATGCCTCCAAGTTTTTATTTCTGGTCACCACCTGGAGCCATTTGGGGGGTATAGTACAGGAAACTGCATCAAGGGTGACTGAACCCTGCTTCTGGTTTGAGAAAGTTAAACACATATTTGAAAATGGATGCTAAGGCAACATAAAACTTTAAGCACTCACTGCAGCACATTTACCTCTTTTATTTACCATTGTATTGGAGGTTCTAGCCAAGATAAGATAATTAAACGAAGAATAAAGTAAAGGCATTCAGATTGGAAAGGAAGAGGTAAAATTAGCTCTACTTGCAGATGACATTACCTTTATATAGAAAACCCCAACAATGCCACTAAAAAAAATTATTGGAACTAATAAACAAGTTCAGCCTGACAGCAAGGTACAAGATCAATATACAAAAATTGTAGGGGCCCGGCCCTGCACAGCGCCCTGGGGAAGCTGGTTTGAAAGCTCTGGAGCGACCCCAGTGCCGGGTAAAGGACAAGATTTGCCCAGACGGAAGGGAACTTGGGGAGAGGTGGCCGTAAGAATGTGGGATGAAAATGTTTCGGGCAGAGCGGTCGGAACACACCTGAGGAAAGCATGGTGGGAGGAGTCATTAATATGAATGAGTGGCAGGGACAGGGCGTCCTTGCAGCGCCCTCGGTGTTGGAAGGGAAGACCGTGCAGCGCGATGGGGATCAGGGCGGCGGGCCGCAGCCGGGGTGGGGTTGGGCGCCGGTCAGGGTGCCTTGAAGCAGATTCTGTCCTCAGGAGCTGCAGTTCTTCCTCCTCCGCCCTCACCGGCGGGCGACCTTAGGCAGGGAGTGAAATGCAACGGGAGCCCTGGAGGGAGGGTGAAGCCGCGCGTGCAGGAGGAACCTCCTATTGGCGAGTTCAGGTCCCCCAGCTGCGGAGGTGGGGGACCCTGTGTGGCAGCCTGCTGAGCGGCTGCGTGCTCCGCCCTTGGAGGGGGGAAGCTGTAGCCCCCCTCCTCTTTTTCAGCCAAGAAACCGCTAGTTACCCCCTTATGCAACCAAGACTGTAATAACCCTGTCACCTTTCACGGCCCTCCGGGTCTGCGCCCATCCTCTGAGTATTCACTCATCCACCCCGAGGCCTGTTTTCCTCACCTGTTGTCCCTCTGGCAGAACCTAGGCTCCTCGGAGACCAGCCAGCATCTATCTGCCCGCTGTTCCCACCCACCACACTCCCTCCCCAGTTCTATCCCAGCTCCTTAGACGGTTGGAGTTCAAACCTCAGACCATGACAGCACACAGGCCTGGACTCCGGTATGGCCCTGGACAAGTTCCTTAATCTCTCTGAGCCTCAGCTTTCTTCCACGTGAAGCAGCGGTAACATTGTTATTAGGAGCCTCCCGGCCCCAGCACACCGACATACATACAACTGGATATCCATCCTGCCTGTGAGGAGTCGTCTTTACTTTGGGTTGTTTCTTGTCCACAGAGGTCCACACTTTATTTTCCTGGAGGCACCAGCGGAGTCACTGATGCACCCCTGCATCCAGCATGTTTAAGGGAGACAGTCTGGGGAGGGCAGGAAGAGCCTAGAGGGTCCCCTAGTGATTAGGGCTGTGATGGGGATGTTACTGGAAAAGGGTCCCTATCCAGACCCCAAGAGAGGGTTCTTGGACCTCCTGCAAGAAGGAATTTGGGGCAAGTCCATAAAGTGAAAGCAAGCTTATTAAGAAAATAAAGGAATGAAAGAATGGTTACTCCATAGGCAGAGCAGCGGCAGGAGCTGCTCGACTGACTATACTTACAGTTATTTCTTGATCATATGCTAAACAAAGGGTGGATTATTCATGAGTTTTCCGGGAAAGGGGTGGGCAATTCCTGCAACTGAGGGTTCCTACTCTTTTTAGACCCTATAGGGTAACTTCCTGATGTTGCCATGGCATTTGTAGACTGTCCTGGCACTGGCAGGAGTGTCATTTAGCATGGAAATGCATTATAATTAGCATATAATGAGCAGTGAGGATGACCAGAGGTCACTTTCGTCACCATCTTGGTTTTGGCTGGCTCCTTTACTGCATCCTGTTTTATCAGCAAGGTCTTTGTGACCTGTATCTTATGCGGACTTTCTATCTCATCCTGACTTAGAATGCCTAAGCTAGTGGGAATGCAGCCTCACAGGTCTCAGCCTTATTTTACCCAGCCCCTATTCAAGATGGAATCGCTCTGGTTCGATCACCTCTGACAGGGGCAGTGTACATTCACATCGTGGCCTTTGCTGCCTCATCCTTCCAGATCTTTCAGATGCTTGCCCTCTGGCATTCTAGGATAGGAAGACTGCTTCCAAAGTGACGCAGGATTTTTCTCGGACACTTTTCCAACTGCAGACTTCTGGCTGGCGATGCCCCTGCCCATGCCTAGCTCTGCCCCAGGCAGGAGGTGCCCTGCCCACTTGGGCTTGCACTCTGGTGGGGATCCTGCAGCCACCGAGACTGCATGCTCAGCCCCAGTAGGAGGGGGTGTGTGATCAAGTGAGTGCCTCATCTTGCCAGCAACTCCAAGTGCTGGCACAGGAGCGGGCTCCCTTTGGGGCCTGCAGCTGGATCAGGCCTGTCGGAAGTGACTCCGGGGGTGAACTCTGGCATGCAGATGAAGGGAACTTGGTGGCGCCCAAACAGGAAAGCACTCGACTCTGAAGCCCCAGAGGGGATGTTACAGCCATGCTAACAGCTCTTTTAGTCCCACCGTCAGCAGCCTGACAAACGGGCATGTTAACAATGAATGGGGGTTGTGTTAACAACTCTGTCAGTCCTGTTGCCTGCTCCTGCCGGAGGCTCCCTGGCTGGCCTGGCCCTGCACTGCCTCTCATGGCAAGGGGCTGCCACTGGGCACAGATAGTCGGGGAGGGGTGGAGGGCTATGGTGTTACTGCCTTCTTCATACCCTTTGCTGACAATGGAAGGGTGAAAAGGGCAGAGAAGAGTTTTATGAAGCAATGAAACAGCTCTCAGCGGAGAGGGGATGCAAGGGTGGTCCCTGACCTGAAGTTGGGTGGTCTCTCTCTCAGCGTGGCTGGGTCCGGGGCTTTTATGGGCTCAGAAGTGGGGACTGCATGCTGATTGGTTTACGAGTATACAAAAAAGGCTAAAACAAAGGAACCATTCAAAGGTGGCATGACAGTGTAGAAAACCACCTAGGGAAGGGTAGATATATGTAAAGTAAGTGAAGGGTGGGGATCAGTCAGAGGAAAGTGCACCAACAGGAAGAGATGTTCTCAGCTCGGTCCATGGATTTATCCAAGACTTGTAGCTTAGCTTTCGGGCTTTAAACTGCCTTTGGTTTGAAAGTTGGATTTCATTGGGGACATGCCACTATCTGCCTACGGGCTTGTCTGACTCCTGCCACTATTAAAAGTACTAAATCAGTGCATCTAGCCTGAGGGCTGCCCCTCGTCCACCCAGCAGAGGTTTTTGTTTTGTTTTGTTTTTCTTTTGTTTTAATTAAAATTTTAATTAAAAGGGACTAATATAGAGGGTTTTTAAAAAATTACCATATGTGTTGAGTATTTATGCTATGCCAAGCACTTTGCATATATTTTCTCATTTAATCCTCTAAATAGCAAGGTTGATTGCCTTATCTCCATCCTATAGATGAGAAAGCTGAGACTGAGAGAAATTAAGAAACCCACATGAGGTCATGTTGTATGTAAGTTAGTTTTTGCTGCATCATAAACCACCCGTTTATGATTTCAAACAGGTAATACTTGTTTCTCAATAACTGGATGGGGGCTGGATGGCTAAGGGGCCTCATATTTTAGGGACAGGAGGAGCTCATCGTCAGCTGGGTGATGGGAATGCGACCACAAGTCTCATTATCCAGGAGAGCTTGAACATAGGGGTTGAGTTTCAAAAGCAGCATAAGGGCAGCAACACAAGAACTTCCCATGTCTCACTTCTGTCATATTTGCTATTCTCCCATTGGCCAAAGCAGGTCACAAGGGCATGGCCAGCCGGTATGGAAGGGGACAACCAAAGGGGTAGACACAGGGAGTGAGAATTGCTGCCATTTTCCCCAACAAAGTATCTACCATCCATAGCTTCTAAGTGTACAACTGGAAATCAAAACTAAGTTTGTCTTACTTGAAAGTTCAAAACTGTCTTGGAGCTACTGCCCGGGGTCTAGGAATCCAGAACATTCCACACATTGCCTAAGTCAACAACCTGTTGCGCACACACACCAGCAACTGTTTTACAAAAGTATGTGGATCTGGTTGTCATTGATAAAATGCAAATTAATTTAGATGTATTATTCAATTCATAGTATAATTTTGTTGTATTTTCAAGTCAACAGATATTTACATCATTTCAAAGCAGCTCTTCACAAATTATTCATTAGTTACAAAAGGAAGTCACTTCACAGTGGAAAAATCTGGCAGGCACCACCTTAATCAAGCAACCAAAATGAACATCCTCAGTAATAGGACAAATTGCAATCGTGTGCCTCCTGATAGTCTAGCAAGAAGAACACAGCATCACTTCTATGATGCTCCTGCCAATAATACATAATTGGAATCTAATCCTAAAGCAACAAATTCAAATTAAGGAAAATTCTACAAAATAATTGGCCTGTAATAGAAGTGTAAAGTCATGAAAGTTAAGGAAAGACTGAAGAACTGTTCCAGACTGAAGATGAAAGAGACGTGAGAAATAAGTGCAGTGGTGATTCTGAACTGGATCCTGACTTGGCAAAACTTGAATAGGTCTGTTGGTTGGATGGTAGAAATCTATTAATGTTGATTTCCTGATTTTTCTAGCTATATTACAATTTTATTGCATTCAGTCCTTGTTTATAGAAGACATACAGTATGTAGGGGTTATAGGGAGTCAGGTCAGGAACTTTCAAATCATTTAGCAAAACAAAAGTTCTTTGTACTTTAATTCCAAGACTTCTATAAATTTGAGATTATTTTAAAAATACTTAAAAAAAACTCCTTTAAAGTCTCTCAACATGCTGTCCTATTAATAATAGATTTCTAGCCGGGCGCGGTGGCTCACGCCTGTAATCCCAGCACTTTGGGAGGCCGAGGCGGGTGGATCATGAGGTCAGGAGATCGAGACCATCCTGGCTAACAAGGTGAAACCCCGTCTCTACTAAAAATACAAAAAATTAGCCGGGCGCGGTGGCGGGCGCCTGTAGTCCCAGCTACTCGGGAGGCTGAGGCAGGAGAATGGCATGAACCCGGGAGGCGGAGCTTGCAGTGAGCCGAGATTGCGCCACTGAAGTCCGCAGTCCGACCTGGGCGACAGAGTGAGACTCCGTCTCAAAAAAAAAAAAAAAAAAAATAATAATAATAATAATAGATTTCTAAATTTGTTTTTATTTTTATCAAGGTTTTGTGTGCCCATAGTTTGAAGTATTAAATCTTTTTTTATTTATTAAAATATTTTTTAATGTCCATTCAGAGGTAATGAAGTGTTAGTTTTTGTTTTTTTTTTTTTTTTTTTTTTTTTTTGAGACAGAGTCTCGCTCTGTCACCCAGGCTGGAATGCAATGGTGCAATCTCGGCTCACTGCATCCTCTGTCTCCCAGGTTCAAGCAATTCTCCTGCCTCAGCCACCCGAGTAGCTGTGATTACAGGCGCCCGCCATCGTGCCCAGCTAATTTTTGTATTTTTAGTAGAGACAGGGTTTCACCATGTTAGTCAGGCTGGTCTCGAACCCCTGACCTCAGGTGATCCACCCGCTTTGGCCTCCCAAAGTGCTGGGATTACAGGTGTGAGCCACTTTGCCTGGCTTGAAGTGTTAGTTTTATCTTTTTTTTTTTAAAGAAAAGTAGTTCCCTTATCTCCACTTTCCCCCTTTCCTGCACCTCAGAGGCAACTGCTTTCAGCTGATTACTTTGACAGGTATGACCTTATTTCCACATAATTGCTTATGTCATTATTTTTTTCTTTTTGAGGTAGGCTTTTTCTCTGTTGCCCAGGAGTGCAGTGGCGCGCTTGTAGCTCACTACAACCTTGAACTCCTGGGCTCAAATGATCCTCTGGCCTCAGTCTCCTAATAAGCTGGGACTACAGGTACATGCTACCATGCCTGGCTAATTTATTTTCGCAGAGACAAGGTCTCACTATGTTGCTTGGGCTGACCTCTAACTTCTAGGCTCAAGTGATCCTCCCGCCTCGGCCTCCCAAAGTGTTGGAATACAGGTGTTGAAATCAAGTTTAGCCTAAAGCTGCCTCCTTATATATTTAAGTTTGGCCTAAAAGTTTGTCTGTATATTGTGACAAGTGGAGGTGTAAACAGACTACACTTGTGCCAATCACTGAGTTTTGGCCAATCAAATGTAGCCAACTGTTCAAACCATGTTCAGATAAGGCAAATGCCAAGCTGCAGCCAAACCCAGCTGTTTCTGTACCTCACTTCCATTTTCTGTCCATAAACCTTCCACCGCGTGACTGTGCTGGAGTGTCCGAGCCTACTCTGCCTGGGAAGGCTGCCCGATTCTTGAAGTGTTTGTTGCTCAATTAAACTCCTTTAAATTAAAAAAAAAAAAATTGTATTTCTCTACTCTAGCAATGAACACTTCAAATTAAGACAATTCCATTGATAATTGCATCAAAAAAGAAAATGCTTAGAAATTAATTATTCAAAAAGAGCAAAAGTTATACCCTAAAACTACAAAACATACTTGAAAGAAGGTAAAAAAAAAAGGAGTAAATAAATGACAAGACACCAATGTTCAGAGATTGGGAGACATTATTAAGATGGCTTTCCAAATTGATATACAGTCACCATGTCTCTATAGAAATCCCAACAGCCTTTTCTGTGGAAATTGACAAGCCCATCCAAAAATTCATGTGGAAATGCAAGGGACTCCTGATAGTCAAAGTAATCTCAAAAGTGAAGAGCAAATTTGGAGTATGCACACTTCTCTATTTCAAAATTTACTACAAAGCTATAGTAATAATTACAGACTTGTACTGGCATAAGGATACACATATAGACCAATGGGATACAGCTAAGGGTCTAGAAATCAATGTTTACATTAATAGTTGATTTTCAACCAGAATGCCAAGGCTGTTCAATGGAAATAATAGTCTTTTCAACAAATGGTGTTGGGAAAACTGGATGTCACATGCTAACGACTGAAACTGGACCCTTTCTTCATATTTTATACAAAAAGTTACCTCAAAAATATATACTAAAATTTAATAGATAAAATTATAAAACTCTTAGAAGAGAGCATAGGGGAAAAAAATCTTCTTGACTTTAGCTTTCTTAGATATGACACCAAAAGCACAAGCAACAAAAGAAGAAAATAGATAAGTTGGACTTCCTATAATTGATACATATATGAATATATCACATTGTATCCCATAAATACACACAGTCATTATTTGTCAATTGAATTTTTTTTTAAAGAAAAAAAAATTTTTTTTGAGGTGGAGTCTTACTCTGTTACCCGGGCTAGAGTGCAGTGGTGTGATCTTGGCTCTCTGCAATCTCTGCCTCCTGGGTTCAAGCAATTCTCGTGCCTCAGCCTCCCCAGTAGCTGGGATTACAGGTATGCACCACCACACCAGGTTAATTTTTGTATTTTTAGTAGAGACGGGGTTTCGCCATGTTGGCCAGGCTTGTCTTGAACCCCTGACATCAGGTGATCTGCCCGTCTTGGCCTCCCTAAATGCTAGGATTACAGGCCTCAGCCACTGCGCCTGGCCAGAATTTTTGTAGTTCCAAAGATGCTACCAAGAAACTGAAAAGACGACACACAGAATGAGAGAAAATATTTGCAAATCATATATCTGTTAAGATATTATATCCAGAATGTATAAAGAACACTTACCACTCAATAATAAAAAGACAAATAACCCAGTTTAAAAATGAGCAATAAATGTGACTAAAGATTTTTCCAAAGATTGGCCTGTGTGCTCATAGGAAGATGATCAACATTATTTGTCATTAGAACAATATAAATCAAAACCACAAAACAGGCTGGGCATGGTGGCTCACACCTGTAATCCCAGCACTTTGGGAGGCTGAGATGGGCAGATCACTTGAGGTCAGGAGTTCGAGACAAGTCTGGCCAACATGGCAAAACCCTGTCTCTACTAAAAATACTAGCTAAAAATTAGCTAGCTAAAAAATTAGCTAGCTAAAAATTAGCTAGGCATGGTGGTAGGTGCCTGTAATCCCAGGTACTTGGGAGGCTGAATTTTACTTTTAGATGGATAAAATGTACATTATATAAACTATATGTCAATACAGCTATGTATTTTTTTAAAGTACAAACTATTTTTTTAAATACAAAAACATTACATAGAGTGAACTCTATGGCACAGCTGCCATACTGAAGGAATTATACTGTGTTTAAAAACCTGATTAAAAATTAAGTTTTTAAAAAATGGGGTCATTAAATTTTATTTTAAGGTTTTAACAGTTCTTTACCCAAGCCAAACATTTTATCTACAGTTGCCCAAGGAAATGCAGTAAGCGGGTTACTTAATTTCCTCCCTGTGGCAATCCTTGGCTCTCGCCCTTCTTAACACTTTATTAATGCAAGTCAGCAACTGCTAGTTTTACATCTTATCTTTCATCAATGTTTAAGAGATAGCAAGTCTAGGGCTCATTATGATCTGCTAATATAGTTCTTAACAAGACACTTAGCTTCCATAGTTATTTGCCAATGAAGCAAGAAAGTGGTACCACTTCATCATTATTCTGATTTTATTGGAGAGAGTGAATGTGTGAGTTTACTGAGAGAAGCAGCCCAAGGAAGTGGGATGGGACAAATTCTACAACAGAGATCACCCATAGACAAGGAGTGGACCCATGAAACTTAAAGATGTAGCGATTTAGGGAGTGACTTTACATCCTAGGATTAATGTCTTTGGGGGTTTATGATTAATATTTAGTTCCTTGTTGCCATGTAACAGAAGATGTAAATGGGTTGCTGTGGTGAGTCATATTATAATTTTGGTTTTTTTTTTTTTGAGACGGAGTCTTGCTCTGTCTCCTATGCTAAAGTGCAGCGGCGTGATTTTGGCTCACTGCAACCTCTGCCTCCCTGGTTCAAGTGATTCTCTTGCCTCAGCCTCCCGAGTAGCTGGGACTACAGGTGCCCACCACCACGCCCGGCTAATTTTTGTATTTTTGGTAGAGACAGGGTTTCACCATATTGGCCAGGCTGGTCTTGAACTCCTGACCTCGTGATCTGCCCGCCTCGGCCTCCCAAAGTGCTGGGATTACAGGCGTGAGCCACCGCGCCCAGCCAATTTTGGTTTTAATTAGAAACTAGATAGGATGCATGCCAAATATATATTATGATGTGTCCCCACCCCCTGCCAAATAGACACATATACATTGTCTCCTTATCTTTTCTCCAATCACAGTATCTATTTCACTCACAACCTTTATGCAAAATCATGAAATAAAAATAATTTTAAAAATTATTAATCTTCAAAATCTTAAAAATTATTAATCAAATGGATAAATTTGATATATGTGATATTATTTGTCTTTGGTAATTTTGTAAAGACTTTTAAACTGTTTTTAACATTCAAAAGGAAAGACACATCTCTCTCTTTTAATGTAGAAGGTCAGTCTTGGTTATTTACAGCATACATGGGGGGCCTTATCTGATTCTCCAATCCCTGGAAAAATAGAGTTGAATGCTCATTTGATCCTATTCCACATGCTACTGGTTTCCCTCCTGTTCACCCTGCTCCAGCCTTGAGGATGTTCTTGCCGAAATATCACCATCCAAAGCTCTTTCTCTATCAGGCTTTTGCATTTGCTGTTCCCTTTTCCACATCTTCTCAAGGCTGGATCTTCTTTAGTTTTCAGCAAAATGTGAACTCTGTGAAGAGGCCTCCCTGACCACTCAATTAGCCACTGCCCCATGACTAGTTTTTTTTTTTTAACTTTCTTAAAGTGCTTTAACTTCCTCAAGCCCTTATTATTATTCTTTGAGTGCATTTTGATTATTTGTTTCTTGTTTATCATCTAGAAGTAGATGACAACTTCATGACAACAGGAACATAATCCTCATGAGGGCAGGCATTTTACTAGTATTGTTCACGATTACTCTCCCACTCCCATGTCAAATTCTGTGCTGTAATAGGCATTCAATAAATAATGGAATGAATGAACGACAGACAAATGTCACACATCATGCCACCTGATGTTATAACATCCAATGTTGATAACCGAACAGAAGCAAAATTAAAGGCCATGAGATATTGGAATGGTCACACTGATTAAAGGCTTTGTGGGCTACACCTCATTGCACACATTTATCAATGACTGAATTAAGGTGATATTTAGCAGTTTGATATTACCTATGAAAACAAACCAAATGGATGTAGCATGCTTTCTTTTTTTGAAACATATTTAATAATTGATTTCAATCATTTTCAATCTGAATTTTAATATACTTTTAACAACAGATTTCATAGTTTGGTCTTGTTTTTCTTGTTTGTTTAGTGACTCGTTTACTTGAGCATTAATATTAAGCCAGTTCTTTGTGTAGTTATATATAGAAGTAGCCATCAACTCCCAAGCACCAACTCCAGGCCAGTTCAAATACGGAAGACTCACTTGAATTCCTGCATCTCAATGATGGTACAGCCTGGAGCCCTTCTGTCCTCCATACCAATAGGCAGTTACAGCTGATTTGGTTGTTTGGCAGCGAATCTCTGTCCTGCTGCCTTCAAGCTGCCATTTCATTTCTTCAATATGGAGACAGGAAATGTGGCTTACCATCAGCAACAAGCTAGTAGTAATCATCCTCATGGAAGACACAAAAACGTTTGTCAAGAGGGTCCAAAGTTTGTAGCTGGTGAGAATGTACAGGAAAGAAGGAAGGAAGGAAGAGAGGGAGGGAGGGTGGAAGAGACAGAGGGAGGGTGGAAGAAAGGGAGGAAGGAAGGAAAGAGGGAGGGAGTAAGAGAGTAAGAGAGAGAGCCTGAGAAAGATAGAGGTGGATTCCACACATACCAGCAAAACAAACTCATGAGGTAGAACTTTTTAGCATTTAAGCTTTGACCAGCATCCAGATGATTTTCTTTTCTTTTTTTTTTTTTTTTGAGACACAGTCTTGGGCCATCTCCCAGGCTGGAGTGCAATGGCGCGATCTTGGCTCACTGCAACCCCCTCCTCCTGGGTTCAAGCGATTCTCCTGCCTCAGCCTCCCAAGTAGCTGGGATTACAGGTGCCTGCCACCAAGCCGGGCCACCACGCCATCACTTCTCCATGTTGGCCAGCCTGGTCTCGAACTCCTGACCTCAGTTTATCCACCCGCCTCAGCCTTCCAAAGTGCTGGGATTACAGGCGTGAGACACCGCACCTGGCCTCAAGTGATTTTCAAATGTACTCAGCAATGCAAAACTATCGTCCCGAATTC